>NC_000006.12:164616244-164767759 GCF_000001405.40 Homo sapiens | reverse complement strand
CCACAACTTTTCATTTGATTTCATTAATAATGACATTTGTTCACCTAGTACTCATGTATAGTATTTTTAAAGAGTTTTATTAAGATATAAATCACATACCATAAAATTAACTCATCAAAAGTGTAGAATTTCGTGTTTTTAGTATACCCCCTGAGTTGTACCACTCAAGACCGTGTTTTAATTCTATACATTTTTACATCCTGCTCAAAGAAACCCCTTACCCATCAGTACTCACTTCCCATTCTCACTATCCCACCCACAGCTACTAATCTACTTCCTGAATTTATATGTACCCATTCATCCTTATTCTACTGCTGAAGCAAATGTGGTAAAATATTTGCATTTGGGAAATTCAAATAAATGACAGATGGAAGTTCTTCAAACAATTCTTGCAACTTTACTACAAGCTTTACATTGTTTCAACATGATACAAAAGCCTATTTTGCACTCTCTCACGGTCTTTTCTTCTTTTAGGTGTTTTAATTTCCAGTCATCTCTTATTCAACAGAAGTTATTTTGAAATATGTATATCATATATTTACATAATTATGTTCTTATACACAGGACACGCAGTCCTTAATAGGTGCTGTAGATCAAATATGGTCACAATTTTCTGCATAACTCCCTTTAAGAGATGATACAGTCTATGTCACTGACCATTAGATCTGTTCCCTGTGATTTGCGTTCACCAGCAGAACCTGGCAGAAGTGACACTGTGGAAGATTCAGAGCCTGGGTCTCAGGAGCTTGCAGCTTCTGCCTTCAGTTCCTTAGATTGCCCTGCTGCCAAATACAGAAGGCTGAGCCAGCCTAGTGAATAAATGGAGAAGGGTGCAGGGAGAGAAAGGGGTGAGAGAGTGGTGGGAGAGAAAGGGGTGAGAGAGTGGTGGGAGAAAAGAGAAGAAACTTCCAGCCCCCCATCAGCTCCCACCACGAGTATGTGAGGACACATCAGAATTCCATCCAGGTCTGAATGGCTGGCTGATGCAGTCATATATGTGAGCCAAGCAAGATCAGCAGAAACATTATGGTTGTTTTGAGCCACTAAGATTTAGGGTGGTTTTTGTTCTGTTTGTTTTTACAAAGCAGTAGGTTTGGAAACTCAACCATTCTTTACTATTATTATTAGTTGTCTGCTTATGTACAGATACATTGATCCTTCAGCTAGTCTCTTGTCTATTCTGTCTTCTGTGGACATTTTTACCCTTCCCAATCCTGGTGCACCACTGACAACACTGTATTTGGTCTTCTTTTTCAAGCCCTCTTCTGGACATCTCTCAAATGAAGAAAGCATGTCTTAGACTGGTTTTGAGACAAACAAAAACTACAGGGAAAAGCAATTTTATCTTCAATGAATGCTGATATATCAAAACTGCCGGACAGTAGGCCAGCAGGGCCAATAGGACCATGCCTCCAGCTGAGTGGTTTCCCACTGTTCAGTTGCTGCTCAGGGAAAAATGTTTCTGGCAACACATTAAATATTTATTACATATTTAGCTTTGAAATCTAAAATATGTAATTATATATTTACATATAATAACTACATATTACATATGTAAATTCTTACATAGTTAGCTTTGAAATCCGCTGACCCTCAGCATCAAAGCCGTCCCTGGCCCATCGTAAGTAGTCAACACATATTTGTTAACGGAATCAATAAATGACCTCACAGTAGTAACTACCTCTTTGAATGGCAAGATATTAATCCACAGAGTTGAGCCCTTGAAATCTGAAATAGCCTTTGTCTCACTAAAGTGCCTGGATTTTGAGAGCTGGCCCCTTTTGGTTGTTTTTCTGATTTGAATTACTACACACACACACATATATGAACGTCCAATGGTCAAAATTAAGAAGGCTTTTGGGATTCAGGAATTCCCCACCATCTTTACTACTTCTTGGGTTTGTTTCTTTACCAAAACATGATGTGTTTAATTTGGTCATTTAACAGCATGTCTAATTACCCTACATTACTGCAAACCTGTAAATGCAGAGAACAATGTAACGGTTTTAAACTTTTGTTTCTGCATGGTTGAAAATTTTGTCTATAGCAAAAATAATAACAAATGCAACGAAAGGATGGAGTTAGTGTTGCACACTGTTTATGGAATATCTGTAGAGATAGTAGATAGACAGCAATTATAAAAATAATTGGAACAGAGGCACTGGTTCTCCACTCAACCATTCTTTACTATTATTATGGTATCTGTATGCATAGTGTCTCTGCCTGCTAACAGACCACAACCAATCCATTCTGTATAATAAAACAGAATTGTCTGGAGCTTTATTTTATGAACCAATAATTTGAGTCTTACATTTCCCTTTTTCCACTTATCAGGCTAACTATTACAGATATTTTTCCATTGATTAAGGGGAAAAAAAAAACAAACTGAAAGTAAATCCTTCCAACTGGCTCTTTCTAGTGGTCCCCCTGCTGCCGCTCCGCAGCGGTGGGTTGGGCTTGCCAGCTGCCACACTGAAACCTCTGACCACCTGTGAGGATCAGGGAGCCTTTTGAGTCACTGCTATTTTTCAGGAATAATTCTACATGGAGATGGAGTCCAAGAGAGACTTTATGCTGCATATATTTAACACTTATTCTTTCCTTTCTGTTATAAACAAGAGTAAGAAACAGCTTCTACTAGAAATAAAGAAGAAGAAATTTTTTAAGTACTCATTATATCAGTGCCCACAATACACACCCTACATACTGAGGACTTTTCTTTTTCATAATTATAAGGCTAAAACCAAAATACAATCAATATAGGTATTAAGTACATTATATTTTTTTAATCTAATCTCCATGCTTAGAATGGCACCAAGGAAATAAAGGGCCCTTAATAAATATTTATTTATTAAATACATGCAGATAATTCAGTAACTTATTTAAAGAGTAAGCATTTAAGAGAGAATGCTGAGTAACTATGATCATCCCACAAATGACTGGCTAATCAATCACAGTTGTATTGAGCCATTAACTGACACATTTTAGATAATTTCCAAAGACACCAAAACCCAATGTCTTAGGCCCAGGATTTTTGTTTGTTTCTTTGAGATCAAGCCTTCGTGTTTGCCAACCTTTAAGTGATGATTTTGCATTCCTTGTGAGTTTTTGTTTGCTACAATATTTTTGTGTTTACTTTGTATCATGACTACAATTACTGCACAGAGCTGAAATAAAACACTCAATGGAAGGCTTGACAGCTGAATGGAGGGGTGCATGCTGGCTATTGTCTTAGTCTGTTGGCTGCCTTAACAAACTACCACAGACCGGATGGCTTACACAGAAACTTATTCCTCACAGTTCTAGAGGTTCGGAAGCCCATAATCCAAGTTCCAGCTGATCCGTGTCCAGCCAGGGTTCTCTTTCGGGCTTGCAGATGGCCACCTGCTTGCTGCATCCTCACATGGTCTTTCTTTGGAGCACTCACAGTAAGAGCGGGCTCTCTGATGTCTCATCTTATAAGGAAATTAATCCTACCTGATAAGGACCCCACCCTTACGGACTCATTTAATCTTAATTACTTCCTTAGACTCCCCAGCTCTAAAGACAGCCACACTGGGGGTTAGGGCTTCAGCATAAGAATTTGGGAGGACACAAACATTCAGTCCATAACATTCCACCTCCAACCTCCAGAAATTCATGTTCTCCTTGTGTGCAAATATCATCCTGACAGCCCTGAATGTTTTAACTCATTCCAGCATCAACCCTAAAGTCTAAAGTCCAAACTCTCATCTAAACTCATCTAAATCAGACATGGGTGAGACTCAAGGTATGATTCATCATGAGGTAGAATGCCTCTTGTATTAGTCCTTTTTCACACTGCAGATAAAGAAATACCCAAGAGTGGGTGATTTATAAAGAAAAAGAGATTTGATGGACTCAAGTTCCGCATGGCTGGGGAGGCCTCACAATCATGGTGGAAGGTGAAAAGCATGTCTTACATGGTGGCAGACAATGGAGAAAATGAGAACCAAGCAAAAGGGTTTTCCTCTTATAAAACTATAAGATCTCATGAGACTTACTCACTACCATGAAAGCAATATGGAGAAAACTGCCCCCATGATTCAATGATCTCCCACTGGGTCCCACCCACAACATGTGGGAATTATTGGAGCTACAATTCAAGATGAGATTTGGGTGGGGACACAGCCAAACCCTATCACCTCTCTATCTGTGAACATGTGAAAACAGACAAGTATGTACTTCCAAAATATAATGGCTAGACAGGCACAGCATGGACATTCCTATTCCAAAGGAAGAAACAGGAAAGAAGAAAGAGTTGATGGATCCCGTGCAAGCCCAAAACCTAGCAGGTAAATTCCAGTAGATCTGAAGACAAGAATAAACTTTGGATCAATGCTTCTTCTTCCAGGCCCACTGAGATGGCAGCATCACCCCCATAGTTCTGCAGGGAAGACCTGCTCCTTCAGCTGTGGTGGCCCTGCCTTTGGGACTTTGCCAGGTGGTTCTGCCTATAAGGACTTTGGTGAGAGCAGCCAAGCCCATTGAAACAGAGGTGGTAGCTTCCTCTTTGAAACAGAGGAGGAAGCCCTAATAACCTCTGAATCACCTTCAGGGACATTCTTTTCTTTTCTTTTTCTTAAAGGATGAAGCATGTTCACAGCTCAATAGCTTTCTGGTCCCCTTCTGTAGATTCCAGAAATCCAATAGCCTCCTTTCATTGTGTCATGCTTTCTTAGGTTCCCTTACTTCAAACTGGCAGTGTCTCTGCAGGTATAATCCCATCTCTACTTCTGGCTTCCGCTGAAGTGGTTGATTCCATTTGCGGTTTACAGAAACATGAATCTTATCAAGTAGTTGTTCATCTACATCTGTAGTGTTCTCTTTGGAACTTGTTTTCTCCTTTTTTGCAATATGGATGGTCTGGGAATTTTCTAAATCATCAAGTTCTGGCTCCCTTTTGCTGAATACTTTCTTCAATTTACCTCTCTTCTCTCATATCTTACTCCTAATGTAAGGAAAACCGAATATGCTTCTTCAATATTTTTCTTAGAAATCTCCTCAGCTAAATGTCCAATTTCATCACTGTCAAAGTCCACCTTCCACAAAATGCCAGGACACAGTTTAGCCAAGGTGCTTGCCACTTTATAACAAGGATCACCTTTACTCCAGTTTCCAATAACCTGTTCCTCATTTCCACCTGAGACCATACTAGAATGACCATTCCCATCCATATTTCTACCAACAATCTGTTTATGATGATATATGCATTCTCAAGAAGACGAAGACTTTCTCTCCAGGCCTTCTATTTTCTTGCTCTCCTCCCCAGAGTCAACTTTAACGTACACATTTCCACCAATAGTCCCTTCATGGTAATCTAGGCTTTTTCTGGTATGTACCCCAAAACTCCTCTAGCCTTTACACATGGCCCAATTCTGAAGCTGCTTCCTCATTTTCAGGTATTTGTTACAGAAGCACCCACTAATATTTTTAGTACTAAAATCGATCTGTTCAGGCTGCCATATAAAATACCACAGACTGGGTTGCTTAAACAATAGAAATATATTTCTCACAGTTCTGAAAATTGAGTAGTCCAAGATCAATGTTCTGGCCAATGTGATTTCTGGTGAGGGCTTGCTTCCTGGCTTGCAGACAGCTGCCTTCCCACTGTGTCTTCCCATGACTTTTATTTGGTATGTGCATAAATACAAAGAGAGAAGTGGGGTAGGGGGAAAGAGAGAGGGAGAGAGGGAGAGAGAGAGAGAGAGATGCCTGCACAAGCACAAGCTCTCTGTTAAGGATACAAATTCTATCAGATCAGAATTCCACCCTTATGATCTCATTTAACCTTAGTCACTTCCTTGAAGGACCCACATCCAAATACAGCCACACTGGGCTTGAGGCTCTAACATGAAATTTTGTTGGACCCTAAATTCAATCTTTACCAATGGGAAAATTGAAGATAGGATGTTAGAACTTACCCAGTCTGAGCAACAGAGAGAAAATAGACTGAAAATAAGCAAGAGAGCATCAGACACCGATAGGACTTTAACAAAATATACATTTATGTTATCAAAATCCCAGCAGAGAAGAGAAAATAGGTGGAGTTAAAAAGTACTTTAAAAAATAATGGCTGGAAGCTTCTCAAATGTAGTGAAAGACATAAAACCACAGATTCAAGGGGCCGAGTGAAACAGAAACAAGATAAAGTCAAAGAAATTCATACTAAGACTCATCATAGCCAAACATCTGGAAACTAAAGAAAAAGAAAAAAATATTAAAATTAGTGAGAGAGCAATGACACCTTAACCATAGGGAAAGGACTAATAAAATGACAGTGTATTTCTTACCAGGAACAACAAATGCCAAAAGAAAGTGGCACGTTTTTCACAGGCTGAAAGAAAACAACCGTCAACTCAACAATTTCATGTCCAGTGAAAGTATCTTTCAGGAATGAAGGGGGATCGAGACATCATCAGTTCAAAAAAAATAAAGAGATTATTTATTTTCAGAATACTTAACATGAAAGAATGGCTCCAGGAAAAAGAAAAAAATTATAATAAATCGAAATATAGAGATATAATACAACGATAAAAGTGTCAGTCCACCAAGAAAGATATAAAAATCCTAAACATGTATTTTCCAGACAACAGAGCTGCAAAATACTTAAAGTGAAAACTGATTGAACTGAAAGAAAAAAAACAGACAACTTCACAATCAAATACCCACTTATGATAAAAACTCTCAAAAAACAGTCAAGAAAGGACTTCCTCCACTTGACAAAAAACATATACAAAATAACTACAGATATCATTATACTTAATTAGGAAACACTGAATGACTTTCTCCTAAGATCTATATCAAGGCACAGATATCGGCTCTCACTACTTTCACTCAACATATACAGGAAGGTCTAGCCAGTGCAATTAAACAAGAAAAATAAATAAAGTGCATACAAATCTAAAGGAAAGAAATAAAACTACTCCCATTTGTAGATTGCATGATTATAGATGTAGAGTAATTCCCAAATGCTAGTAAAAATATTACTAGAACTAATTTAGAGCTTACCAATGCCATAGAATATAAGATAAACATACAAAATTCAACTGTATTTTAGTATACTAGCAACAAGCACGTGTACACTGAAGTTAAAAACACAATACCATTTATGATCATTACAGAAACTTGAAATGACCCAGATATCCCTCAATGGGTGAACAGTTAAACTTTGATACGTCCATATTTTGGAATACTACTTAGCAATAACAAAGGATAAACCACTGATGTATACAACATGGATGAATCTCTTGAGAATTATGCTGAGTGAAAAAACAAGTCCCAAGTGTTTATATGTTGTATAATTCCATTTATATAAGATTCTTCAAATGACATAATTATACAAACAGAAAAGATTAGTGGCTGCCAAAGTTAAGGAGGGGATATGTGGGGCAGAAGAAAAAAAAGCAATATGAGAGATCTTTGTGATGATAAAAATTGTATCTGTCAGGGTTCTCTAGAGGGATAGAACTAATAGGATATATGTATATATATGAAAGAGAGTCTATTGAGAAGTGACTCACACGATGCTAAGGTGAAGCCCTATGATAGGCCATCTCTGCAAACTGAGGAGATAGGAAGTCAGCAGTGGCTCAGTCCGAGTCCCAAAACCTCAAAAGTAGGGAAGCCAACAGTGCAGCCTTTAGTCTGTGTCTGAAGGCCTGAGAGTCCCTGTTAAACCACTGGTGTAAGTCCAAGAGTCCAAAAGCTGAAGAGCTTGGAGTCCGATGTTTGAGGGCAGGAAGTATTCAGCACAGGGGAAAGATGAAGGCCGGAAGACTCAGCAAGTCAGCTAATTCCACCTTCTTCTGCCTGCTTTTTCTAGCTGTGCTGCCAGCCAATTGGATTGTGCCCACCCAGACTGAGGGTGAGCTGTCTCTCCCAGTCCACTGATCCAAATGTTAATCTTCTCTGGCAACACCTTTACAGACACACCCAGAAACAATACTTTGCATCCTTCAATCCAATCAAGTTGACACCGAATATCACAGAAATGTACCATGTTGTGACTTTACTAATGTCGACATCCTGGTTGTGATATTGTCCAATGTTATACAAGATGTTACCATTGGAAGAAATTAGATAAATGGGTGCATAAGCTCTCTCTGTATTATTTGGTACAACTAAATGTAAATCTATAATTATATCTAAACAAAAATCTCATTAAGAATAAACATATATCATCCTTGCACTTCTGGATGAGATGGAGTACAGGGATATATCCTCCCACTACAAACAACCTCCAGCAGACAAAATATGTGAAACCATGGTTAGCAAGGCAATAGGTATCAGACAAGTGGACAGTGATCCACAAAAGTAGAAAAATAAAGTGAATCCTATGACCGTCCTATTTCACCGACTTGAGAGGGTTTATAAGCCATATGGAAGGGAGTAGTAGACAGGAGGGGCTCCTGCAGACTCCCTGAGTTGAGAAGACCGGGATAAGAGTCTTGGAAGGAGAAGGTACTTGAGTTCACAGGTTGGGGTAACACAGAAGAGGAAGCTGCACAGCATCTTTCCCAGGGTCCCCAGGGAGCATTCAGTGGAGTCCCTTACAACCACACGCATGCCAAGAAACTCACCGGGGCCACAGAGGAGCCACCCAGAAGGATCAGTAGTAACAGTGCTGAGAATAGTGTCTCTTTCCACAGGCAGACGGGAAAAACTCCACATTCACAAGCAGCCTGTAGACTGTGCTGAAGTGTCTGGTTGCAGGGTTGGGAATAATTTGCACTAAACTGAGCAATGCCCTGAATAAAAAAGTAAATAAAAATTTAAAAATTTTAAACTGTTTCCAAGTAACTGAACTGCATTCCAGAATAAAGTTCAAGGACATTTATAGGAGTTAAAAAAAAATCAAGCACACAAGTTAAAATTTACAAACCTGGGCATCCAATAAAAAATTACCAGGCATGTAAAGAAATAGGAAAATGACTCATAATGAGGACTAAATTCTTCCATCCATCCATCCATCCATCCATCCATCCATCCATCCACCCATCCATCCATCCTTCAAAATTGACCCAGCCCTGACACAAATGTGAGAATTGGCAGAAAATTACATTAAAACAGTTATTATAACTGTATTTCCATATTTCAAAAAGTCAAGTGAAGACAGGGAATGCATAAAAAAGACCCCAATCAAACTTCTAGGGATGAAAATTACAGTATAGGTCATGTAAAATTTCCTGGATAGAATAAAAGTGAATTAGACCTTGCAGAAAGAGGAATTAGTGAATGTGAAGACTTAGAAATACAAATGATCCAGAATGAAACACGGAGTGAAAAATCAATTTTTAAAAATCAGCAAAGCAGGAGTGAGCTGTGGGACAACTTTATATCACCCTAAAATGAGTAATTAGAGTCCCTGAAGAGTAAGGAGGGACTAGAAAATATATGTGAAGAAATAATGGCTAGAACGTATCCAAATTTAATGAAAATTATACTCGTACTTCCAAGAGTCTAAAATCCCCCTAAGTATTAGAAACATAAAGGAAACACCACCAAGGAATATCACAATCAAATCTCCCAAAATCAATGATAAAGAGAAAATCATGAAAGCAGAAAGATCAGTCTGACATCATATCATACATGGATGTATCTGTCCATTATCTGACCCTGGCTCTAGCACGTAAGTGTGTAAGTCACCTATTTCTGCATAGCAAACTACCACCAAAGTCTGCAACCTTAGATAGCAAACATGCATCCCCTCAACATTATTGTGGGGCAGGGATCTGGGAGTGGCTTAGCCACGTGCCCCTAGCTGGGGGTCTCCATCAGACTGTAATAAAGTTATTGGCCAAGGGCAGGTAGCTACATCGGGCTCACTCAGTGTGTCCGGCCCCAGGTCTACTCATTGGATGTTGGTCCTTGATGGTCCTTGGGGGGTATCGGTTTCTTCCACTGTGGACCTCTCTCAGGCAGCTCACAATATGGCAGGTCTTCTTGCAGAGCAAATGAGACAGAGGGAAGAGATAGCGCCCAAGAAAGAAGCCACTGGTGACCTAATCTGGAAAATGACATTCCAGAATTCTTGTCAAATTCTGTTAGAAAACAGTCATTGGGTCCATTCCATGTGCACAAAAGGAGGAGGAGATTACACAAGGGCTTGAATGCCAGCAGGAATTACTGGGACCATGGTGGTGGTGTGTATCATAGCAAGCTCCCTGGGCTCCAGCACTCTTGTTTACCACTGTATTCCCAGCTCCTCCATGGTGGCCAGCATCTAGTAGACACTTAAGTATTAGGATGGGTGAAAATACAAATGAATGGTCTGCTAGCCTGGAAATGCATAGTACAATTATCTGAACCAAAACAACAACTTTGATGTTATGATCCAGTGCCATTTGCATTACTAACCAATAACTTGGGACAATTGGTGGTACACATTTCTACAGTACCCTTTATTTCAGAAAGCAAGGGTTTAACTCCACCTGAGGTATTGAGCAGATGTGCCAAATTCTAATTTCACTTTTTAAACAATGTAATTAAATAGATTTTTTCATTAGATCATTAGATAGTGGCTTGTGTTTTTATGAAGCAAGAAACAAGAAAATTCTTCGCATAGCCATAGAATGGGAGATTTAACTTTGATAATTCCTTCAGCATTTCATAAACTGCTTGTATTTGTGTAGTAATGAAAAAATACAAATCCACACATATGTCACTGCAGGAGAAATAAATGAAGCCCAGTCTGGAGATACTTGTCTTTAATCATGAAATGTGCAACATTTGGCTGCAGTGAATTCGCGATTTGTCTCACTAATGGAAATCCTCAAGGGTGCTGAGAGCCCCGCAGACAAATCCTCAGGGCTGTGTCTGTGCCCTCCAGGGACTTGGGCGTGAGTTAACTGTAGAGATGAGAAGATCCGAGGATACTGATTCTAGATCATGTCTCTGTCAGGCAAGCCCTAACTTACACGATTCTCTTTATCCTAAAAGGCCCCCATAAAGACATACATCAGAAACACTGCACATTTTCAGCCATAGGGCACCAAATAAGAGACAGCGACGTTTTGTTGTCTTGTGATTTATCTTCAGGTCTGTTAGAGGCATTGTGGACTCAGTCACCTTTCCTGGATCCAGAGGTTCCTGTGTTCTTAGTATGTTTCCTGTACCTTTCTCTGGGTTTCCTTGAATTAGGTGTTACTGCCTACAACAACAGGAGAAAATAAGTCAGTATCAGAATATTCAGATGTGCAAACAAACACGGGGGATCATTTTTATCATAAATATGGCCATTTTTATTATAAATATGGCCATTTTTGTTAACTTGGTCTACATGTTATTATTGCAAACTATTCATCAGAGTAGGTCAGTCCTACATGGAGGCCATTAGCATTTGATAGTCTAGCTGAAAAGGCAGCAGAGGCGCTAATCTTTTCAGCTGTGCATGACTCATGCTAGTTTACTATGCTAATCTCGTAGGTCTTTTAAACACTCACATCCCCACCAGATAGCATAGTATTTTCAGATCTATTTAACCAGATTTATTCTCTGACCTCATCACTCAGCTGGTGCAGGGAGATGGTTACCAGCAGTATTAAATCCCATTTTATCTGTAATCTTGTATCTTATAAGGAATTTTACATTTTTCATGTTTTCCTTATATTTCAAAAAGATGCCATTATTTAAAATATAATTATATGTAAAATACAGTAAGAGTAGGCTGGCCACAGTGGCTCACACCTGTAATCCCAGCACTTTGGGAGGCCCAGGTGGGAGGGTCCCTTGAGGCCAGGAGTTTGAGACCAGCTTGGATAACATAGTGAGACTCTGTCTCTACAAAAACAATAAAAAAAAAGAAAAGAAAATTATCTGAGTGTGTTGGCACACCTGTAGTCTCAGCTATTGTGGAGGCTGAAGATCACTTGAGCCTAGGAGGTTGAGGCTGCAGTGAGCCGCGATGACACCACTGCACTCAGCCTGAATGACAGAGCAAGACCTTGTCTCAAAAAAAAAAAAGGTAAGAGTAGAGCTATTTAAGAAA
Organism: Homo sapiens; assembly: GCF_000001405.40. NCBI lineage: Eukaryota > Metazoa > Chordata > Mammalia > Primates > Hominidae > Homo > Homo sapiens. The sequence goes on along the minus strand of NC_000006.12, from coordinate 164,755,752 downwards.
GTCATTTAAGGGTGCTAAATACAGTTACATACAAATGAGAAGCTGAGTTTGCTTTCTTAGTTAACGTTGACATCCTAGAAATAAAAGGTTATATTTACAGCACATCATAAAAAATATTAAAATTCTAATACATTTTATATTTGTGTTAAAAAATAAAAACAAGACAATAAAAACAGAAATATAGGAGAATATATAGGTGGATTGTCCTTATCTAAAATGCGCGGTGTATTAGCATTCTCTAGAGGGACAGGACTAACAGCATAGATGTACATATGAAGGGGAGTTTATTAGGATAATTGACTCACATGATCACAAGGTGAAGTCCCACAATAGGCCGTCTGCAAGTTGAGGGGCAAGGAAGCCAGTCCGAGTCCCCAAACCTCAAAAGTAGGGAAGTTGACAGCGCAGCCTTCAGTCTGTGGCCGAAGACCTGAAAGCCCCTGGCAAATTAACTGGTGTAAGTCCAAGAGTCCAAAAGCTGAAGAACTTGGACTCTGATGTTCCAGGGCAGGAAGCATTGAACACGGGAGAAAGGTGAAGGCCAGAAGACTCAGCAAATCAAGTCCTTCCAACTTCTGCCTGCTTTATTCTAGCCATGCCAGCAGCTGATTAGATGGTGCCCACCCAAATTGAGAGTGGGTCTGTCTCTCCCAGTCCACTGATTCAAAAGTTAATCCCTTTGGCAACACTCTCACAGACACGCCCAGAAATCAGACTTTGCATCCTTCAATCCAATCAAGTTGGTACTCAATATTAACTACAACAGTTGGGACCAGAAGAGTTTCAGATTTTGGATTTTTTTTAAATTTTGAGATATTTGCGTATACATAAGGTATCTTAAGGAAGGGGCCCAAGTCTAAATACAAAATTCATTTATGTTTTATGCACACCTTATACACACAGCCTGAAAGTAATTTTATATAATATTTTAAATAATTCTGTGCATGAAATAAAGTTTTGACTGTGATTTGACTGCATCAGATCACATGAGGGTGAAGTGTGAAATTTTCCACATGTAATGTCATGTTGAAGATCAAAAAGTTTTAAATTTTGGAGTATTTTGGATTTTGGACTTTCAGATTAAGAATGCTCAACCTACATATCTGATCTGGAAATCAAAGTCATTTTCAAACCCAAATCAATACAAAATACAAAGACAAAGTAAATATAAATTTGAATTTAAACATGTTAAAATAATCACAAAGCTAACTTTAACAATTGTAAACGAAGGAAATGATTGCAACAAATATATAAGAAGGAGTAATAAACTATTGTAGAAACAGCCCATGTAAGTAGATAAGAAAAAAATGCTAAAATTCAATAGGAACTTCATTAAAACCTGACTATTAGAAAAGAAGAATTACAGATGATTAACAAAACTATTAAAATTATTCCACTTAATAACCAAAAAAAGCAAAATTAAAACAAAAATATGATTTTTCAGTTTAAGAGATTAGTAATTTTTTCTTCAATGGTAATATGCAATTCTGGAAAGAATGGAATAAAATGAGCTCTCTGACATACTTAATGAAAAATCAGTCATTTTGAGAGATGGCAATGTAACGCTTTCCTCCTCTCTCTTAAAATGTTCGTTACCTCTTGGAAAATATTTGTGTTAGTCTGTTTTCACACTGCTGTAAAGAACTGCCCAAGCCTGGATGAGCTATAAAGGAAAGAAGTTTAACCCTAAAATTGACCCCTTTCTTCTTGGACTGAAACTGCCTTTGTAAGACCAATGAAAGGCCATAAGATTAGGATTATGGGAGAGGCCCAAACTCTGCTAAAACATAGGTGTAGTTAAAGGATAATCAGCTGTGGTTCCAGAGTTCACAAGATTTTCAATTTTCCTTACTTGTTCCTATAGATAACATCACTATTGTCAAAATTTAAAATTGGTCTTTGAGATGGTTTCCAGATTTTTGCATTCTGGTGATCAACTGACTGCACCAGGATCCATGAATCATGACTCAACTGGTCCCATGGCCCCCAGCCAGAGTCTGACTCAGCAACCAGGAAATTTTTCCACACCTCTGTGATTTCATCCACCAATCAGCAGCATCAATTCTCTAGCTCCCTGACCACCAACTTATTCATAAACCTCCTAGCCTCTGAGTTACTGGGGACACTGATTTGAGTAATAGTCTCCCATCCTTCCACTTGGCTAGCCCTGAATTTACTACAGTCTTTCTCTACTGTGATACCACAGTCTTGGTTAATTGGTTTTATCTGTGCATTGGGCAAAAATAATCCATCAGATGATTAGAAACTTATCCTATAATAAATTTAAAAGAATGTTAAATTTATTAGAGATCATATTGGTAACTATTATTAAACTTACTGAGATTATAGTATTATTTATTCCTGTTCTTCTCTGGTGTAGATTCTATACACCACTAGGATTCTGTTACAGTTACCACGCCCAAAATAAATGAAAATATCTTTTCAGGCCAGCCATGGTTGCCAGATGTGAGTTATCAATGAAATATTTTTGCTAGAAAAATGGGACCTGCTTGTGCAGGAAAAGCACAAGCATTAATAACAAATTTTACTTATGGTGTCATAGAATCTCTCATGACTTTCTACTCTTATCCCCCAGAATTTGATGTTTTACAGACTTTGTGTTTTTCTTGAAGCTCAGATGTTCAAGTTTATATGAACTGGCATTACATAAGATATTACAATGGCATTATGATAACGTACCTAGTCTGTTCACAGCATTTAAACATGTCTTTTTTCCATTATAAGGACCTATCTAGAGTTTTCATCATTTTGAATCATCCTGTCACTTATAAGTAACATTTGGAAACATACCTCTCTGTTGTTATTACCATGTGACCCATGGCTGTGGGTCAGTTCTTCTGTCCTTTTCTAGACTCCTTGCCTTACTTAAAGTTTGCTCTATTAGCTCTCAGGCATAGTAGAAACAAATAAATGTCTACATTTTATGAGCAGATATGTAACTAATTAAAAATGCTTACAACTACTATCTTGGATTTTTAAAATTTAATTTAAAGCACCAGTTTCTCCCACTCGTGTAGTGGCCTCCTTTGTCATTGTGGCTTCCAGCAGCTCACTGAATACTCTGGAAGCCCTGATGTAGAAGCAGCTAAAGGACTCTGACAGCCTCCGCTCCTGTCTTGTTTCGCACAGGGAACTCCAAGCAGTCACCTTCCAAACCATGATTCATCTGGAGAGATGAGCTAAGATAGGGCTGCTCCCTGTGGCTTTGTGGGACTCCTTCCGTCTGTGCTGCCCAGCACAGATCCGATGATCTTCATACCTGGCCTCGTTGCATCTGGCTCTCCAAAGCACAGATCTTTAGGTAATTTCTAATGAAGATTTTCTTTGGTTTTCAGCATAGGGTTCACCACTCCTGGAAGTGTCCTCAATCAGGCAACAAACCTCTGAGCTCCTCTCTGATGCCTCTCCATGAGTGTCTATCTTAGAGTTTAGGGGGACACACTGACATCTAATTCAAAAGGCAAGAGATGGCTATATATTATCCACAATATATTTTTCACCCGTCACCCTTCACTCGGTGTTGATCATTGTCTCTCAAAACCATGTGGTATTTCCTGGGGCTTTTCCTCATCACGGCTGTTAGAATCATCTCACCCTCCCCCAAATGCATGTGCTCGGGATCCTGGGAGCGTTCTTCTCAGCCTGTCAGGTAGGATGCCGACTGGCTGCCATGGAGAGCAGGAGGGGGCCCTGCGCTGATGGATAGGCTCACACTAATGAGCTGCGTGACCTTGAGTGAGTCACTTGACACCCCCAACATTTGCAGTCTGCAGATTGAGCCGACTGGACAGGGCCATTGGGTTGCAAGAGTCAATTTTTTGAATAAAATTTTACATGAAACTCTGATACAGATCATCTGTGCTGAGCTCTGATGATGAGATCCTGGGCTGCTGAGTGCTATCTGCATTTGCAAAAGGCAAACACACAAACAAACAAAAAAGAAACAAGTAGGGAGTGCTGGCCAACATCCCACTTTTCTCTTCTCACTGCACATGCAACACTCTATTTTCTGCTCTCTTGCAGTTCAGCAGAGACCAGAGACTAAGTTCTTGCCAGGCTCAGCCACGCAGACGCCTTTGTCAGGGAGTATGCACCAGGGTGAAGGCCGCAGAGCTGGTCTGTGGAGCCCAGCTTGGCTGCAGACAGCGGTAGCACCACTGTCTCTGGCTTCCAGGAGGGTAGTACCAGGGATGCTATGGTGGAGGGAGGTTTCCAGGCTGAGAGCGGCCACAGTGTTCCAAGCTGTCTCATGAGTTTTCATGGTGATGGCTGTGCTGTCCTCAATGGATGTCTTATGGGACAGCATTTTGGCCATCTGGCTTCCCCTGATTCTGTCCATTTTAAAATCTTGTTTCAAGTCTTAGAATTCAGCAAGCTAGCTAATCCTCCCCCTAAAAATCATTTTCTACTTCAGAGTGAGGTTTTGCTGCTTGCAAAATAAATAAATAAAAATTAAAAAGAAAAGGTAAAATAAAAGCATATTAAGAGAGGTTGTTAATGGCAAGAGACATTGTGTTTGTACAGGACACAAAATGATTTGCAACTCCCACCCAAACGTAGGAAATCACTGTTATCAGAGACTAGGGAGAAGGCCGGCTTCATGGCAGATGACTAATATTAGAACAGCCAATGCCTCAAAGGCGAATGTCTGTGTTTATGGACCAGGTTTGAGGGGGACGGCTGCCATGGAGAGAGGCCGGGGGAGTGGTGGAGGCAGGCGTCAGAGGTGGGAGGTGGAGATGGAGCAACTCTATAGAAGCCCCACTCTCCTTAGGACACATTTTACAAGCTGCCAGATAATTAAGTCTATTTCAGCTTCAAAATACTATACATCTAAAATATACATATTTAAGCATAGTATGAGGCCTTCATTGGACATTAGAGCATAAGAACTTCACCAATAACCTCAACACAACAACGCTGACCTCGTTCTCCTTTCAACAACTGTCATGTACTGTTTCTAGCACACATAAGCTAGATAATCTTTCTACTCATGCTGGAGACTCTTTAAGGGTAAAAACTGTGTCCCTTTTTTTTTTTTTCACATTTCCTTCAGCATTTGCATTAGGGTCACTGTATCAGAGAACCACCAACAGTCTGGATGAAAACAACAGAAACGTTTTCTCTCACAGTTCTGGAGGCTGGACGTCCAACACCCAGGCGTGGCAGGTCATGCTCCTCTGAGGCTCAGAGTGGAGTCTGGGCTCACTTTTCCCAGTTCTGGGGCGAGGGGGTGTGGGAGTGGGGTGGGCAACCTCTGGTATTTCTTGCCTTGTAGCCGCCTCACTCCAATCTTTGTCTCTGTTGTCACATGGCCTCTTTCTCCCTGTGTCTGTCTCTGTGTCTCTCCTCATCTTCTTATAAAGACATCAGTTACACTGTAGTAGTGTCCACCCTCTATCCTCAGTATGACCTAATCTCGACTCCATTGCATCAGCCAGGAGCCTATTTCCAGGTGAGGTCACACATTCACAGGACACAGTGGGTAGCACTTGGATTTATCATTTAATGGGGACTAATTCAACCAATAACCTTGCCTGATCCAGGAAAACAAACATAAATATGCATTGTTGAGCACATATTCAATGTGTTTCTCTTCTGTTCTCTCTTCACTTCTGAATAAATCAGCAGCCCAGGTTTCTTTCTTCTCCTACCTATATCTTTCCATGCATCTTTAACTTGGAAATTAAAATACTTTTCCCATCTGCAATAATCACATCCATTTCATTCTTGAGAGAAAGCGCAAGGGAATTTTTGCAGCCAGTGGTGCTTTTCTGCCTTCTCCACCACCATGACAAAGGCCAGGTCTCTGATCTCAGCATCATTCCTCCAATCAGGCCTCCTCCTCCCCTTATTCTGGAAATAGGACTGCACAAAACAAGGGGTGAGGTGGGTGTGTCTTATGAGAGTACCTCCTGGACTAGTCAATTCATTTTGTTTTCTTCTACCTTGGCTCATCTGAGCCCATCACTTTGCTCCTTACATGGTAGAGGGAAAAACATCTGGAGAGGAGTTCAAACGGGAGCACTGCTGGGAAGGAAAAATGATGCCTTAACTCTGCTGCGAAATAACCCCTGTCCCTGTCATGGATCCTGCTCTCGGCCAAGCTCTGACACACAGCTCCGAGGATGGATGACTCGGCAGCTGCAACACACGTCGGCTTGTCTGGCTGCAGACAAGAGGCATGTTTGATTTGTGTGTTTGCTGAAGCTCAGTAACAGGCAGAATCTTTTCTCTACCCTTGGAATAGACACAGAAGAATCCACTAACTTACGGAAAGAGAAAATCCACCCTGTTAACAAATTTAGGTTTTCCCCACAGCCCTCCCATTTCTCTGGCCTCTGAGGTGCTATTTGGAAAGACTTATAGATTAGCATCTGGGAAGCTTTCCAAACTGCTTGTAAAATGAATAGAAAGAAGGAAAAGATAACAAGCCATATTAGGCTGTTTTCATCTCTTTAACCACAACACTGTGGTGAGCTGAGATCAAGTCATGTTTTCTAGGGTTTCTTGTAGAAGATTAGATTTCTAGTTTGTACATCTGCTCGGGTCTAATCGCTCACCTGTTTCCACTCCTGGCTGTGTACAGCAGAAGCTCTAATTCATTTGTCTGCAATAACAGGGGGTGAGTGTGCATGATGGGAGTGTGTCCCCAGCCTCAATATATTCCTGCTTCTTGGACAGAGATTTTTGCTCAGAGTAAGAATGCATGGTCATCTCAACTCTAAATGCCCCACAGTTGCTAATGATGTATTTCATGGAGGGTCCCCATCCCTAAAAGCAATAATTAATTAACTATACAAGTGACTAATTAATAAGTCTTCACAAAAGATGCTGTGAACAGAATCCATATAAACTCTGACTGCTATAGGCATTATGGCAGGTTACATTATTTCAAACTTTACTATGTGCCAGGCATGGTGGTAAATAATTGACAACCATTATCTCATTAGATCTTCCCCAAATGCCCATGAAAGAGGGACTGTTATCTCTGTTTTTCAGATAAGGAATCTGAGAATTAGAAAGATTAAGTAATTTTCACAAAATCACAGAGATTAAACTATGGAACATTTGAGATATGAAATTAGGACTTCAGACTCCCAAATCCTTATTATAATTACTATGCTATGCTGAACCAATCAAGGGACAGAAAAATGGAAATATGGAATGGAAAAGCAGGAAAAAGCAAAAGCTTAAATATTAATTAGCAGGAGACTCAAAATAAGAAAATAAATGCTGGCATGCAAATCAAATGATAAAAATCGGAACGAATTAGAGGACACAAGTTTCCTCAAATAAGTAAGTTCTGAGCTAAATTTGGAAGCGGGAAAGATATATTTAAGGTCCTATATTTCTTTATGTGTACTTTCTGTTTTAGAAGTACTGTGGTTCTTGAAAAAGAGTCACATAGAAATATAGAGATAACACTGGTCTTGGATAGGTCATTCTATAATCTGTCATGGTTGTGGTAAAGGAAAGGAAAAACAAAAACCAAAAACAAACAAACAAACAAACAATAACATGTGTTTCTGATAGCAGCCAGAGACAGGCAAATGCCTAGGCAGATAGGGCAGGTGCCTGGTGAAACTCCACCTTCAAGCTGAAGACAGTTCAAAGCCTACCTACAAGTCTCAGGTAAGTCTTCAGACCAGATTGAGAACTTGTCTTCCCATTTGGTGCACATTCCTCTGATTGATCCCCAGCCTTCACCTGTTTTACATATGCCTACCCTTTTCTAATTGGTCTTCTACACTGCCGTGCCCACCTTTGAGTGGTACCTTTGCTTTAGCTTTCTTTGCATATTCACAAACCAATCAGAGTGGACTCCTGTATTCTGAGCCCATAAAAGTCCCGGACTCAGCCACACTGAGAGAGAAACCACCCAACTGAGGGGGTGAGGGACCACGTCGCATCCCCTCTCACTGCTGAGAGTGTTCCATCACTCAATAAAGTTATGCTCTGCCCTCCTCAGTCTTCAATCGTCAGTGTATTCTCATTCTTCTTGGATGCTGGACAAGAGCTCGAGAACCACTGAACATGGGTACAAGCTATAACACAGGCGAGCTGGGGCACACCAGGCCCAGCCATGGGCTAAGCCAGTGTGCAAGTTAGACTTGACCCAGGCGGGCTGAGTAGATGGGGTGCCCCCGCTGTGAGCCCAGCAAAAGGGCCAAGAAAAATCCTGTGTCATTTGAAGAGCAGATTCATTAATTTTATCAGTTACAAAAGGCCTTTCAATTGGCTTCCAATCATTGATATCCCTCAACAAAAATCAGAATAAATAGGCCCTTACCTGAATTCGGTGTTTTTTCACTTCATGGAAGGGAGAATTTGGGATGGCCTGAAGATAACTTTTTTGTGTGTTTTGAAAATAAGATAGAATCTTTGCCTAGAGCTGAAAGTGCAGGAGTTACAGCATGTTGTCTGAATAGTTGTACTCAACCTCTGGGCTAGAACAAGACAGGATGACGACTAAAACACAGTATGCAAGCTTAGAAAGTAGTTATTATGGGCTACGAAACCTGTAGTTTGAAAGCTTGGCTGTTTTTATGTTTCCTGTTTTTTTCTTTGCTGTTTCTGTTTTATTCTCTCTCTCAGAGTTTGTTAAAGATCTTTTGGAAAAGTCTAACCTGTGTCACCATTCCAAAGAGAATTGTTGAAGAGAGTGCCTGACTTCGGATGGAGCTTTTTGTTTTAAACAACCGTAGTATTGGTATGTTTTTTCTCAAAACAACTTATATTTCCTAGACTACAATGTAATACATATTTTTCACAGACAAAAATAAAGAGAAATGTAACATAATGAATCCATTCTAAGAGACTTTTAAAAAATTTTTGGTATCTTTCCACAATACATAGACTGATAACCTTGACTGAATCACATTGCATATGTTTTCATAACCATTTATTCATAAATATATTTCATGAAATCACTGGTGGCAGAGAGGTGGATCCCATAAAAATACTCTATTTAGCTTCTCCACCACTGCTCCCAATTCTGACTTTATAAGTAACAGTGTGAGGTACACAGAAACATCTCTGCATATATTTCTTTTGTATTCTCAATTAGTTATTAAAAATTTTCCCTGAACATCCCAAGATTCTCATTACCGTCATATCTAAGAAAACATCTCTTTTAAATGTGTGTTATTTTGTCATTATAGTTCCAATATTCCTCTTTCTCCATCTATAGTGGCAAATTAAGATGTCTCATTATTTGCCTTGTTTAGGCAGTGATTAACACATCTATTAACATGGTAGGAGTTGAGGAAAATTGTTAAAGAGTGTTGAAAAGTGTAGTAACTGATAATAGTTACCAACTGTTCATAATGCATTTAGCTTAATTTGTATGAAAAAATCGTGTTTGCAACAGCACTTGCCAATACGAAATTTTGCCAACAGTAATGATCCTTTGCTTCAAGACCTGTGATTGATTTCCACCTGGGGTCAGAAAGGATTTCTCCCTGTGCTTGAGTTTTTCATGGTTAGCTTCATTGTGGGGATGTCTGCTTTCCTCTGGAACATCTGGCACCAACTACCATCACATGCAGAATCCTGACTCAATGGACCATTAGTTTTTGTGCAGAAAGATATGTGAATTTTAAAAAGGCACTCCTGAGTATCTCTAATCAAGGCCATGTGTTATCAGTTGTAGAGAGGGGAGAAATTAGTTTGGTTCAAATCATTGCAATTCCCCCATGTGGAAACCTCTGTCCTAAAATAAACCAAGCACATCCTGGCGCCATGTGTTTAAAGACTATCAGAGACTGCTACTGGACTCCCCTCAAGTGGGCGTCATCATATGTGCTTGGAATCAGCAGGTCAGGATTCCCTGCATCCAAGGCATTCCACAAACAATGAGGAATCAGACTTCACCAACTGCAGAGACGGTGGCTGCTTCTGCTATGATTTTAGGAGTACCAAGAAACTTCCTCTGACCCCAGATAACTCCTTCCTCCTTCCTGCTTTGGCAACTCATTCCCAGCGTCAAATTATTTTTCCAATTTCAATACTCCTTTGCTTATGTTAAAATAGTAACACCCGGCCGGGCGCGGTGGCTCACGCCTGTAATCCCAGCACTTTGGGAGGCTGAGACGGGTGGGTCACGAGGTCAGGAGATCGAGGCCATCCCGGCTAACACGGCGAAACCCCGTCTCTACTAAAAATACAAAAAATTAGCCGGGCGTGGTGGCGGGCGCCTGTAGTCCCAGCTACTCGGGAGGCTGAGGCAGGAGAATGGCGCGAACCCGGTGGGCGGAGCTTGCAGTGAGCCGAGATCACGCCACTGCACTCCAGCCTGGGCGACAGAGAGAGACTCCATCTCAAAAAAAATAAATAAATAAATAAATAAATAGTAACACCCTGGGGAAAAGTCACTTCTAACCTGATAATGACTATTTATACTGAATAAAATGAGTTTGTAAAATGACAACTAGACATGTGTGGAGGAGAATTTATAAGAATCAGTGGAAATTCATCTCAGTTTGATAGGATAGATGAGACAGAAGAGGTGCGCTTGCCGTCGGGAGTGCTCAGTGGGTGGGGGAGCTGCAGCGGCTTGGTGGCTGAGTTCAGAGCCCAGAGTTAGGGTGCGCTGGGGGTCTAGGTTTAGGCTGTGGCCCCTGAAGAGCATGGGCGATTTTATCATTGTTTTTCTGTGGAAATTTGCTCCTGATTCCCATCCTCTGTTGTCACGCACCCTGGAAGAGTTATCCTGGCCTCCAATTTCCTCCTTAGTGCCTCCCTCCATTATAACACATTGCACTGACTCAGACGGATTTACTTCCAGATGTAAGTGTCCAGAGTTCTGCTGGCATTGAAGACACGGGTTGTGCTTTTTCTTTCCTCACATTCTCAGTGCTGTTAAGGCCACTAACACAGAGAAGAAGCTCAATAATAAAACTTTTCTGAAAGGAAAGAATTTTTAAAGTAACATGTGCTCGTTTACTACTTAAAATATTGTGTCTATACATTCATGCCTTTTCAACAAAGGGAGAGTGCAGGTGTACCGCCAATAACGCATGTGTTGTCTGGTGGAAGAGTGTGAGTCCTGAGACCCCAGAAGCACACAGCAGAGATTCCTTGAACTTTTCGACTACTATATGATGAAAATGCAAATTAATAGAACAATAGAGTTGAAAGAGAATTATCTATTTTGCTCCCTCCCAGTGGACCCATGACTCAATAGGACTGGGCATTGTTCTACGAATAGTCACTGAGCACATGGTAGAAGCAGGCACTGCTATTCCCCACCCTGGGCTATAGCATCGAATAAAACAAAGCACAGCCCTTCTGGAGCGTCCATTCCAACAGAAAGTAAACAGCCTTATGAGTAAAATAGAGTCTGCCAGATGGTGTTAAGAACCATGGAGAAACACAGGCAGGGAAGGGGAAAAGGGGCTATGGAATTTCAGGAAAGGGATTATTATTTGACGTAGGGTTTTAAGTAAGGTCTGCCCATAATTCAGAACCTAGAAAGGTATAGGATGTCACTTGCATTGGCATCCTAGCCGTAGCTGTCAAACTATATCTTACCAGATGATAAGCCTAGTGTCCTGCCATAGGAAGGTGAAAGGACTACAGGAATTTCTTCCCTATGACAGCCTGTTGTTCTAGATGGCCATAAAATAGCTGTCAGCCAGTTTAAAGATAAGAGAATATTGGGCAGAACAGAGACCTACAGAAAGAAGATCTGAGTCTTCAGGTTTAGCATAGCATACAGACAAAAACTGTGGGTGGGAATACTCACACAAGGGGCTGGCTACATGCAAATACACCAGACAGCGAAGAGTTTTCATAGGAAATGGTATTGCCAAAGAGATCATATACACGGATTTCAATAGCATCTATCAGGTAACCCCTAAAACAACCTGTAGTCCTGACTCATGAATCCGCTTCATGAAGAAGGATGCTGAAAAGTCTGTACAATGCCCCAGAAGAGTGGGCTCCCTAAAGCTCACCATGAACAAATATTAAAGAAGGAAAAACTTCCCAGGGAATAAGTCAGGCGCCAAGAAAGACAATGAGAAAGTGGGGGCTCTTGGACACATGGAACAGAGACAACCCAAAGCACTGAATCTGGCCTGGGGCAGCAGTGCATGGACTCACGCACAGAGTCTGAAATTGTTCTTGCCCATCGCTGACCGTGGGTTCCATTGCCCCCTTTCCTGAATAGAGGGTTCTCTAAAGTTATCCCCTTTCTACTCCCCTTTCACATTGGGCATGTTATGGGCAGGTGACGTATTTTTTATCTTATTGATACCATGGCACAAAGATTCATATCTAGCCTTGATGAAGAGGTCTGCAAGTCTCTAGACATCCTGGCATTTGAATGATGTGCAGAATAATTGGAGGTTACCCTGGGGTCATGTCTTTTGGGGAGAGAGTATGTACAGGAAATATACACAGGAATATTCAGGTGACAAAAAAGAAAAGAAAAGAAAAGAAAGACTGCAAACAAAACAGTACTTTGTGCCACAAATAATGATAATTTCTCCTTCCTTAGGAACAGTACCTCTAAATTTTAATGGAGCACAAGAGCACCTTGAGTAGATACTACATTGCCTAGGATTCCTTGCATTCAGATGTGACCCTGTGATCACGTCCCAGCTAACACGAGGAGGATAGTATAGTATATAGTATATAGATATTATACTGTGTGTTAAAGATGAATGTTTTAACTTCTGGTTTTTGTGAAAAGGGATTTATCCAAAACATTCTGCTGGCTTCTTTGTCTCCTAGTAGCGGGGGCGGCTATTGGTTTGTAAGTTTGGAAAGAATAACTACACATGCCTGGCTCCATTCTACCTTTCTTTCTCTTTGGAATAAGATGCTTGCAGGGAAAATGACCCCTGCTTCTCTACGGGGAATCTGCCTGTGGTCTGGTGTGAAGGTTCAGTATTGTCTGTGACCACCTGACCAACACACATACAATCAGGATTCTCTGTGCCATTAAAATTATATGTTAGCTTCAGTCTGCAACTCCTTTGAGTTCTTTCTCAAATTCATTAGAAATGATGCATGGAAAAATGTATTAGGTTTGTTTCATAGACCCTAAATTATGTGAAATTTCTAGGAGGTGTCCTTAAAGGCCGGGGGAAATTTGTATATTTCTTCATCTCTCCTTACTTCCAAAGGCTAGAACGTATATTGGGTGGCTAGAATTAACGAAAGCATTTCAGCTCCTGAGGTGAGAGTCAGAGTGTGAGCCTTGAAGAGCAAGAAGGTGGGAGTGGCAATAAGAAGACAAGAGCAAAAAGATGGGAGAGGCAAGAACATGGGAGGAGTGAGAAGGTGAGAGGGGTGAGGAGATGGGAGGAGTGAGGAGGTGGGAGGGGTGAGAAGGTGGGAGGGGTGAGGAGGTGGGGGGGTGAGGAGATGGGAGGAGTGAGGAGATGGGAGGAGTGAGGAGATGGGAGGGGTGAAGAGGTGGGAGGGGTGAGAAGGTGGGAGGGGTGAGAATGTGGGAGGGCTGAGGAGGTGGGAGGGGTGAGGAGGTGGTGGGGCGAGGAGATGGGAGGAGTGAGGAGATGGGAGGGGTGAAGAGGTGGGAGGGGTGAAGAGGTGGGAGGGGTGAGGAGGTGGGAGGAGTGAGGAGGTGGGAAGAGTGAGAAGATGGGAGGATTGAGAAGGTGGGAGGGTTAAGAGGTGGGAGGGGTGAGAAGGTGTTGGGGTGAGGAGATGGGAGGAACCTATGGTTCTGATTACTGTGGAGCAGTCATGTTGATCCTAGACTCTTCACGTTTCCATGAGGTCGAAAAAATGTTATTTTGCTTAGACCAATCTTGTTTGATTTTTTTTCTCATTCAGAAATATTGCCAGGTCTGAAACAAAAGGAAAACTCAGCTACTTTTTGGACAAATTGGTACAGCAAATTGAGATGTTGAGTAGACGGCTGGACATAGAAAGTTTTTAAATCTAGTTTATGTCTATTTTCTTTACCAAATTGTGGCAAGTAGTTGATATTATCTATTAACAAATCCATCATATATATGAAAAGTTAAGTTAAATACATATGGCCCAGGAAAAAAAATGATATATTTTGCCACTCCTCAAAATAAATTATTAGAAGTTTAGCAGTAGTCAGGAATGAGGACTATGTTGCAATATTGATTGTGATGGTCAGAACTATCAGGAATCTGGGTGTTCAGAGCTGGGAGAGGGTATGTACAGATGCAATGTGGGTGCCCATTATGGTATACGCTACAAGAGTTAGTATCAAAAGACTAAGGGTACAGACTACATCACGGGTAAATAATACATCAGTTATAGTAGTTACCAACCTAAAAATAAGTTGTCCCCAAAGGAGGTAACTTTGCAATAGAACACAAGACTATTTCATGTTCAAGTAACATTCCTGAGTGGTACCAAGCTCAGGGCTAGGGGAAAGAAAGAGGCAGGATAAGCTGTCTTGCAGACATTTTAGTAATTCAGACAGATGGAAGCTCTGCCATCTTTGATATGTAGTTCCCAAAGTCAATATTTTTTTCTACATCAGGTCAATGGAAAGAGCAAAACATGGGATATTATAAATACAGGATGTGGGGAGGAAAGGTCCAGACACAAGAGAAAAACAGATGTAACTTAAAGATGTGCCACAGCCTGGTTTATCACCACTAAATGGCAGTTTCAACTTTTCCCCTCATGTATAGAATATAATCACTTTTATCCAAGGGAGATGACCAGAGTCCCATGCAGTCCCTGTATTCAGGCCAAAGCCCAAGAATCTTTAGGTGATGATCATTCCTCTCCAGAGTTCTAAATACGGTTCCTTGGGCTCAGTGACCTAAAATGACACTTATCTTCCCAACGCATCCCTATCCAGTATAAAAAGATCAAACAGTGATAAGGAATGCTCCACTCTGCAAAAGAGAAACCCTGACTGGGGGGTTGCATGGCATTTTTGCCAGGAAGGCATGTGAGGAACCCCTATCTGAAGGTGGGGGGATGCCTTGATGGGACCTCAACTTTGCCTTCTGAGATGAACTTTCTTGTTCGCCGGGGTTTGCTGGGAGGTCCCTCCTTTGGCATTTCTCCCGATGACCTTCTCTGCCTTGGGGATTGAGGAGTGCACCTTCCTTGGCTGCTGCCTGGCTTTCGTAGACTGTTCTCTGTACAGTTTTGGATTGGGTTTATTCCTGAGGCTAACAAAACTGTTACAGGATTTTTTTTTTTTTTAAATCAGCCTCATGGTTTCTTTGGCAACAACATTTCCTCCCAATCTTTTCACTCTTCTAATCTGTTTGCTTCCTATGAGTTGTTGCCAGTAAACAAAAAACAGTGTGTCCTTTTCTTGACATATTTTCAGGTCTGCCTTGTTAATTTATTTCTTGCCGTCCTGCTTCTCTCTCCATTTAGCAGAAACTCTTGCTGAAGTCTGAGTACATAGGCTTAAGCAGGAAGTCTATCTCCTTGAATGACTTTGCTACAAATCTCTTAAAGTGAGAAGTTTTAGTGAGCACCCCCATTTTTTTCCTTTTTTATATGAGTTTGGATCCAAACAATCTTTTATTTTCCAGAACTTAAAGTTCCCAATCTTATAGACTATTTTATTTTCTTTCTACTTCCAAACCACGCATATTTTTTTCTGAATGGATCTCTTCCTCATAATATCATAGTATTAATATATACAGCTCAGCATATACTACTAACACACTGACTTCTAGTCCCTTCCCTTGGAACTGAATTACTCAGGGACATAACTCTGCCTTCTTGGTTCTCATTGTGTTCTAAGTGTTCTGTACTTGTTTTAGATACACGTCATTTCTCAGACGAATTTTTTCAAACATTTTTTTCCCAACCTATGGCTTCACTTATTATTTTTTGATAATATATTTTGAAGAGCGAATGTTTTTAATTTTGAGTAATTTAAATTTATCACCTTTTGTTTTGGGTATCAGGCTACCTTGTTTGCAATTTTCACTATCCAATAACATTACACAAATAAATGTGTACCAATGTACCAATGTAGGTAGGAATAGCCTTCCTTTTTTGTATGAGAGATTTACATCTGCAAAGTAAATTTCAAGATATTGGATTGCTGGTACAAAACATAAAGGCAATTCTGTTTTAGTTTTCATTTTATTTTATTTTAATATATGCTGCCAATTGCCCTCCTTAATAATATAGAAGTTTGTATTCCCACCAGGATTAAGAGTATATATTTTCTTTTGACCTTACTAACAAACTATGTTGTCAAGTTTTTGTAAATTTTGCTGATCTGAAAGGAGATAAGTGGCATTTCAGTGTAATTTTACATTTGCATATCTCTTCATCTGAGTGGCATTGAGAATGAGAACTTTCTTGTGTATTTCCTTATGTTCATAAACTATTTGCATATGAATTTTCTATTGAAAATATATGCTCTTATTTGTATCTTACTCTTCTGAGATGCAGAAATGTTATCTTGGAGATATTTTTTCTCTTTCTTTTGGTTTTGTGTGATCGGCAGAGTGAAGATCTAGCACAGAGGAGAGAACTGTCAGAACACGTTCTTGCATGCTTCTTAGAAGAAGGTGCTTCCTGAGATGGGCTTCCTTTGGCTCCCTGTGGAGAGCTTCCTCCACCATCTTTCCTGTCTCCCTCAGAAACCCCGCCCTGTGCATGGGGCTGCCTCCAGCTGGGTGCCACTCTTTCTGGTGCCGCTGCCTCCAGCTGGGCACCGCAGTTTCCTGTACCTGAGGCAGCGCTCTTCTCCTTGCACTTCCCACCACACCAAAACGTCCCTGCAGCTTCTTCTGCGGATTCTGCTCCCCTCACTTTCTTTGGCAACACGGGGTAACAATTTGGAGTTTGCATGTTTTCACAAAAGTTTCCCCAAAATTTCAGATTGTGGTTGTTCAGTTTATTTCTCTAAATGTTTCTAGGAGAAGAGAAGAAACAATTCAGAGCTTAACCAGCACCATATTCCTATCAGCTGTAGAAGAATATATACATGTATATTCTATACACACACATATAAACACACACTGATATATAAACACATACACACACATACATAAACACATATACACATACACATATACATACACACACGTATACACAGATTATATATACACACATATGTATACACATATGTGTGTATATCCTCATTCACTTTTAAATTATTTATAAATGCACATGCCATGTTATATTGATTTCAAGAGTTTTGAAAACCAGAGTTCAGAGATAGATAGACAAATAAACATTTTTTAAGTGCAATGATACATTTTAGTGGGAGAAATAAAAATTTATGCTAAGAGAGTTAGGAGAGGAAGAGAAAGTTCTTAATAAAACTGCTCTGTAGAGTTTCCCAAGATAATAAAGCTACACATTTGTTTTCCCCTTACAACTGAGATGTTTATGAGGAAATAAAACACAAAGTTAATTCTACACTTGGTATACAACACTTGTAGGCTTGGAAGTTTGTCTTTTGCTTTAATGAGGACACAGCGGACTCCGAGGTTTAATGTAACCAGCTATGGACCCTGGAATTAAGACTGCGAAGCCCGTAAGTGTTAGGACATCTGTCTTTTTCATGGATTCTCTCTCTGGTTATCTTTCTTCTCCTCATAGAAGTAGGCGGTGTCCGATGAGTTTAACTCATGCAGCACTTGTGCTAAGCTTTCGATGGGGGATGTCTATGTACAAGCAGAGGAAGTGGCTTTAAATTAAGAAGCATGGGTTACTTACCTGTGGATACTGCCTGGAAAGCAAGCATGTGAGTGAGATTCTATTCATGTGGGTTTGTGTGGTGGGTTAAGTTTGTGCAAAGTCTCTTCTAGTTTCTAGTTTCTCAGAGAAATAAAAACTCATGTCGTCAGCTGAGAGTGAGGAAAAGGGAGAAGGTAAAAAGTTAAAAATGAGATGTATTTTCTCTATGCACCTATGTCTCTAAAAATCTACCGAGAGTGTTAGCGATTGAAAGGGTAAGCTGTCCACCCTTCACTGTAGGTAAGGTAGACAGAGCGCCGGTCTCTAAGCTGTGATCTACAAGCAGACATCCAGTTTCCTGAGTATCCATGTGCTGACAGCTCCTCAGGTTGGGTGTGGTTGTGCAACTGTGACCTGCTTGACTCTGGGACCTCTATTTGGTTGCTGGCCTTTGGAAGTTGTGTGATGCCATATTCCCCAGATCTGCCATGTCTAGGAAGACAGATTTATGGAGGATGGGGGAAGGGGTTTGCTGGGACTTTTCCCAGACTCCTCAATCAGTGAATACAACACATTTCCAACTTCCCTTTGGTTTTTCATCAGCTTTCTTTTCTCACTGTATTAGTCCATTTTCACACTGCTGATAAAGACATACCTGAGACCAGGTAATTTATAAAGAAAAAGAAGTTTAGGGCCGGGCCCGGTGGCTCACGCCTATAATCTCAGCACTTTGGGAGGCCGAGGCGGGTGGATCACGAGGTCAGGAGATCGAGACCATCCTGGCTAACACGGTGAAACCCCGTCTCTACTAAAAATACAAAAAAATTAGCTGGGCGTGGTGGTGGGTGCCTGTAGTCCCAGCTCCTCGGGAGGCTGAGGCAGGAGAATGGCGTGAACCCAGGAGGCGGAGCTTGCAGTGAGCCGAGATCACGCCACTGTACACCAGCCTGGGAGACAGAGCAAGACTCTGTCTCAAAAAAAAAAAAAGCTCTCCCTCTCCCTCTCCCTCTCCCCATGGTCTCCCTCTCCCTCTCCCTCTCCCTCTCCCCACAGTCTCCCTCTCCCTCTCCCTCTCCCCACGGTCTCCCTCTCCCTCTCTTTCCACGGTCTCCCTCTGATGCCGAGCCAAAGCTGGACTGGACTGTACTGCTGCCATCCCGGCTCACTGCAACCTCCCTGCCTGATTCTCCTGCTTCAGCCTGCGGAGTGCCTGCGATTGCAGGCATGCGCCGCCATGCCTGACTGGTTTTCGTATTTTTTTTGGTGGAGACGGGGTTTTGCTGTGTTGGCCGGGCTGGTCTCCAGCTCCTAACCACGAGTGATCTGCCAGCCTCAGCCTCCCGAGGTGCCGGGATTGCAGACGGAGTCTCGTTCACTCAGTGCTCAATCTTGCCCAGGCTGGAGTACAGTGGCGTGATCTCGGCTAGCTACAACCTCCACCTCCCAGCCGCCTGCCTTGGCCTCCCAAAGTGCCGAGATTGCAGCCTCTGCCCGGCCACCACCCCGTCTGGGAAGTGAGGAGCATCTCTGCCTGGCCGCCCATCGTCTGGGATGTGAGGAGGCCCTCTGCCTGGCTGCCCAGTCTGGGAAGTGAGGAGCGCCTCTTCCCGGCCACCATCTTGTCTAGGAAGTGAGGAGCGTCTCTGCCCGGCCGCCCATCGTCTGAGATGTGGGGAGCGCCTCTGCCCCACCGCCCCGTCTGGGAGGTGAGGAGCGTCTCTGCCCGGCAGCCCCGTCTGAGAAGTGAGGAGCCCCTCCGTCCAGCAGCGCCCCGTCTGAGAAGTGAGGAGCCCCTCCGCTCGGCAGCCACCCCGTCTGAGAAGTGAGGAGCATCTCTGCCTGGCCAGCCGCCCCATCCAGGAGGGAGGTGGGGAGCAGCCCCCGCCCAGCCAGCCGCCCAGTCCGGGAGGGAGGTGGGGGGCAGCCCCCACCCGGCCAGCCGCCTCATCCGGGAGGTGGGGGGCGCCTCTGCCCGGCCACCCCTTCTGGGAAGTGAGGAGCCCCTCTGCCCGGCCGCCACCCCATCTGGGAGGTGTACCCAACAGCTCTTTGAGAACGGGCCATGATGATGATGGCGGTTTTGTCAAATAGAAAAGGGGGAAATGTGGGGAAAAGATAGAGAAATCAGATTGTTGCTGTGTCTGTGTAGAAAGAAGTGGACATAGGAGACTCCATTTTGTTCTGTACTAAGAAAAATTCTTCTGCCTTGGGATGCTGTTGATCTGTGACCTTACCCCCAACCCGGTGCTCTCTGAAACATGTGCTGTGTCCACTCAGGGTTAAATGGATTAAGGGCGGTGCAAGATGTGCTTTGTTAAACAGATGCTTGAAGGCAGCGTGCTCCTTAAGAGTCATCACCAATCCCTAATCTCAAGTACCCAGGGACACAAACACTGCGGTAGGCCGCAGGGTCCTCTGCCTAGGAAAACCAGAGACCTTTGTTCACTTGTTTATCTGCTGACCTTCCCTCCACTAATGTCCTATGACCCTGCCAAATCCCCCTATGCGAGAAACACCCAAGAATGATCAATAAAAAAAAAAAAAAGAACAACAACAACAACAACAAAAATAAACTACCATCAGAGTGAACAGGCAACCTGCAGAATGGGAGAAAATTTTTGCAATCTACCCATCTGACAAAGGGCTAATATCCAGAATCTACAAAGAACTTAAACAAATTTACAAGAAAAAAACAACCCCATTAAAAAGTGGGCAAAGGATATGAACAGACAATTCTCAAAAGTAGACATCTATGCAGCCAACAGACACATGAAAAAATGCTCATCATCCCTGATCATCAGAGAAATGCAAATCAAAACCACAATGAGATACCATCTCATGCTGGTTAGAATGGCAATCATTAAAAAGTCAAGAAACAACAGATGCTGGAGAGGATGTGAAGAAATAGGAACGCTTTTACACTGTTGGTGGGAGTGTAAATTAGTTCAACCATTGTGGAAGACAGTGTGGCGATTCCTCAAGGACCTAGAACTAGAATTACCATTTGACCCAGCAATCCCATTACTGGGTATATACCCGAAGGATTATAAATCGTGCTACTATAAAGACATATGAACACGTATGTTTATTGCAGCACTTTTCACAATAGCAAAGACTTGGAACCAACCCAAATGTCCATCAATGATAGGCTGGATTAAGCAAATGTGGCACATATACACCATGGAATACTATGCAGTCATAAAAAAGATGAGTTCATGTCCTTTGCAAGGACATGGATGAAGCTGGAAACCATCATTCTCAGCAAATTATCACAAGGACAGAAAACCAAACACCACATGTTCTCACTCATAGGTGGGAATTGAACAATGAGATCACTTGGACACAAGGTGGGGAACATCACACACCGGGGCCTGCTGAGGGGGTGGGGGACCGGGGGAGGGATAGCATTAGGAGAAATACCTAAGATAAATGATGAGTTAATGGGTGCAGCAAACCAACATGGCACATATATACCTATGTATCAAACCTGCACATTGTGCCCATGTACCCTAGAACTTAAAGTATAATGAAAAAAAGAAAAAAAAAAAAAAGAAAGAAAGAAAAAAGAAAAAGAAGTTTAATGGACTCACAGTTCCACGTGGCTGGGGACACCTCACAATCATGGCGGAGGGTAAAACGCATGCCTTACGTGGCAGCAGGCAAGAGAGAATGAGAACCAAGCAAAAGCGGAAACCCTTTATAAAAGCATCATATCTCGTGAGACTTCAGTTTGTGCACACGACCACAAGAACAGCATGAGGGAAATTGCCCCCATGATTCAATTATCTCCCACCGGGTCCCTCCCACAACACGTGAAAATTATGGGAGCTACAAATCAAGGTGAGATTTGGGTGGGGACACAGCCAAACCATGTCGCTTACCTACAAAAGATGTGATGTTTCAGGTTTTTGAGGTATTGGGAGTGTCCAAAGCAAGACTTTTATTTTTGGATTTTGATTTGTTTTTCAGATTTGTCTCTTCTGGACGGGAGACATTAGGTTAGAAAATGTTGGGGTTGGTGGTCTAGAGCTGGATTGACCTTTGGTTCTGACATTCATCTCTTCTAAGGCCATGGGCAAATCATTCTGTTGCCAGGGTTCATCATCTGTAAATGACAACATATATCTACTCTGCAAGATTGTGAAGATTGGATAGATTGTACATAAAGTGTAAAAGTCTAGCATTAAAGTGGTGCTAAACCCACTGTAGCTGATACAAGTTAACATTTGCTGAGTGCTCAGTAAGTGACAGATGCTGTGCGACACAATCTGCATGTGCAGCCATGCATCACTTAATGATGGAGACAGATTCTGAGGAATGCACCGTGGAACATCATGGGGTGCACTTCCACACACCTAGACTGGACAGCCCACCACACACCTAGGCTCTATGGTACAGCCTGCTGCTCCAGGCAACAAACCTGTACAGCACATTACTGTGCTGAGTACTGCAGGCATCTGCAACACAATGGTAAGTACTTGTGTATCTAAACATAGAAAAGGGTCAATAAAAATATGGTATAAAAGATTTTTGAAAATAGTACATGTGTCTAGGATACTTACCATGAATGAAGCTTGCAGGACTGGAAGTTGCTCTGGGTGAGTCAGTCAGTGAGTGGTGAGTGAATGTGACATCCTGGGACATAACTGTCCACTACTGTAGACTTTATCAACACTGTACACCTAGGTTACACTAAATTTATATGTTTTCATTCATCAATAATAAATTAACCTTAGCTCACTGTAACTTTTTTGTTTTATAACTTTACTTTTTTAGCCTTTTTGACTCTTGTAATAACACTTAGCTTAAAACACAAACACACTGTACAACTTTACAAAAATATTTTCTTTATTTATATCCCTACTCTATAAGCTTTTTTTCTATTTTGAATTTTTTAAACTATTTTGTAAAAAACTGAGACATAAAAACACATTAGCCTAGGCCTACACAGGGTCAGGATCATCCATATCACGTCTTCCACGTCCACATCTTGTCCCACTGGGAGGTCTTCAGGGGCAATGACATGCATAGAGCTGTCATCTCCTATGATCGCAAAGGCTTCCTGTGGATACTTTCTGAAAGACCTGCCTGAAGCTGACAGTTAACTTGTTTTTTAATAAGTAGACTCTAAATAACAATTAAAAGTATAATAAATACCTAAGCCAGTAACAAAGATGTTTATTATCATTATCAAGTGTTAATGTACTACTTGCATAATAGTTTTATAGGACTTGGCAAGGCAGTAGACTTGTTTACACCAACATCACCACAAACACATGAGTAATGCATTGTGCTATGACATTAAGATGACTACAATGTCACTAGACAATACAAAATTTTAGCTCCATTTTAATCTTGTGGGACCACTATAGGATATGCCGTTCATCATGGACTGAAATATTGTTACGCAGGGCATGACTGTATTCACTCATTTATTCCTGGCAATAAATGACACACGTACTCTTATAATTGTCATTTTACAGGAGAAGAAATTGAGACTCAGAGAGGAAATATGGCCTCCCTTATAGCCAGTGGTAGTAAAATTGGTTTGCAAACTCAGCCTGACTTCAGGGTCCTTGAATACTACACATACGCACAGGTGCTACTATCTCCTTGGCTTCTATGAACAATGCTGATGCCTGCTTTAGTTTCAAAGTACTGCAGTCTGAAAGTTAGCAAGAAAATAATGCCATCGACTTATGTTTATGTTCAATGAAAAAAGTAATTTTCATGAATGCTGGTGTGATTTTATAATATAAGAAATTCAGTGAGAAGCAGTATAATCATGATTTGAAAACTGCAGAGTTCACTTTCTTTTCTTCTTTGCTCTTTCTCAGCAGAATCAAGCAAGCTTTATTTTAAATTGTGAAACTGTTACATTTTTAAATTTCAGACTCAGAAAATGAAGCTCTCAAATAAGAAAATTATCTGTGTGTACAGAGATGAAAGGAATCAGGGTGAGTTAAATAAATCATGAGAAGTTTTAAATGCAATCCTTAATGTTTGTGGTGATAATTCTTAGTCTCTATGTTGTAAATACATGTACAAAAAATTCCAACTACATGAGGACAAAAGAAAGTACAGTAACTTTGGTAAAAAAATGATCAGGTGCTATGAAACTTTCACGGGCTTACATAGAATTTCCGGAGAGTTCTTGAATTTTTAAAGCTGTTTACAAAATGGAGCTAAAAGGTCTAAAACCTGTGTACTCTTAGTATTCCACCGAGGCTGTGGGTACATTAAATAATGAGTTAGAAGTTTGCAGGAACCACTTTGTGGCAATCGAGAAGCATAAAGCATATTTAATTAAATTAAGTAATCTCTATTTAGACAAAAATAAATCATTTTAGTGCTTACTGTTTTTAACGACTCAGGCTCTCATTCAAAAAGAGAACAGGAAACTGATAAACTACTTAGAACTCCATTTATGGGGCTTTTATAGCAAAGCACTAATGGGACTTTTCAGGCCAGGGAAATGTCATATTTTATTAATAAACGATTCTGAAACACTCACAATAATTAACTGTCTAACACAAAATGTGCCAGAAAAGAGGAAAGAAAACCACAAAGATATAAGCATTTTTGAAAGTACAAAAAGTTTTTAGAACATTTAAAAATTATGCTTATTTAATCCATTTTTAAGTAAATTTCTATTAAGAGCATGAATAAGAATATTTACTACAATCTCTCATTTTTTTTATAAGAACACAATTAATGGTTCAAGATTTTTGCTTGACAAGACTATTTTTAGACCTCAGATATTATAGGCCTTTTCATATTTGGGAATCTTAACATATATTATATTGAACATATTCATGGGCAATACCTAACAATTTTTCTCTAAAATCGTTATTATATTTTATAATTCATCTTTTAAATATTTGAAATTTTAAACTGGCTGTGTTTCCTCAGCACTATTTGTACATACTTGAAAATTCTTGAAATTTAAGGAATTAAACGAACTGATTATCTTCATTTATAATACAATTTTTTTGAATATCATAATTTATCCACTAATGAAATTGATATATTACTAAGTTTGGTAAAAACTTAACATCCCCATCGTGGTTGGTGGTACTTTCATTTCTTAGTTTAGAGATAATAATTGGTTCTTCAGAGCTTAAACAATTCTCTAGTCCTCTAATAAATGTATAGGTTTAGATGCTGCAGCTTTATCTGGCTTATACAATTCTTTTCTTAATTTGCAATGTTTTGAAGACAGGGATAATGACAAATATATCTTTGATCATTTTTGGCATATGATGCCTTGCTTGTAAGAGATTTTCAATATGTATATGTTAAAATAGTAAAATATTTAGATCATATGGTCCAAAGAGAGTCCTAGAAGCCACCAGATCTTCCAAAATCCATTGTTTCCTAACCTCCCTTCACTCTAAAGAAAGCGAGCCCCTGGCATTTTGGTCAGTCTAATAGTCTACTTGAAGATGACGATGATAACTAAATTTTTTTGAACACCTGATACATTTGATCTTTTTCACCTTAGCCATCCTATTGAGTAAAGAGTACATTCTGATTTTAACTTACATGTTCTGTTGACATGTGATGTTCAGCACTTATTCAAATGTTTATTGGCCATTTGGATCCACTCTTTTGCCTATTATTGTCTGTCTTTTCTTTGATGATTGGAAGAGTTCGTTATATGTTTTGGATATTAGTTTTTTTGTCAAATACATCCATTGCAATCCACATTGGTTTTCTCACCTTTAATTTCCATATAATTTTAGAATCAGCTCATCAACTTTTGTTTTAAAAAACCATATTAAAATTTTAACTGAGTCTCACAAATAAACTATAGATTAAGCTGAGAAGAAGAAATAGGTTCCCAATATTGAATTTTATAGTATTTATAAACATAGAACATCTTTCCATTTATTCTACTTTAGTCTCAATAATATTTCACAACAATATTTTTACTTTGTGCATAAAGATCTTGAAAATATTTCATTAGTTTTTTCTAAATGTAATATATTTTAATGCTTTAATAAATCCTTTCATACTTAAGGTTTTATTGACTCTTGATGCTTTCCAGAAGTATAATTGAGATCTATATATTGATGATTGTATTAGTCCATTCTCATACTGCTATAAAGAAGTGCTTGAGACTAGGTAATTTATAAGAAAAAGGTTTAAATGATTAACAGTTCCTTATGGCTGGGGAGGCCTCAGGAAACTTAAAATCATGGCAGAAGAAGAAGCAAACACATCCTTCTTCACATGGCAATAGGAGAAGTGCTGAGCAAAGGAGGAAAAGCTTCTTATAAAACGATCAGATCTCATGAGAGCTCACTCAGTATCACAAGAACAGCATGAGGGTAACAGCCCCCATGATTCAATTACCTCCCACTGGGTCCCTCCCACAACACATGGGGATTATGGGAACTACAATTCAAGATGAGATTTGGGTGGGGACACAGGCAATCCATATCATTATGCTCCAGCTTCTCCCAAATCTCATGTTCTCACATTTCAATACAAAATCATGCCCTTCTAACAGTCCCCCAAAATCTTAACTCATTCCAGCATTAAGTCAAAAGTTCAAGTCCAATGTCTCATCTGATACAAGGAAGTCTCTTCTACCTATTAGCCTATAAAATCAAAATCAAGTCAGTTACTTCCTTGATACAGTGGGAGTACAGCCATTGGGTAAATACAGCCATTCCAAATGGGAGAAATTGGCCAAAACGTAGGGGCTACAGGCCCCATGCAAGTCCAAAATCCAATAGGGCAGTTATTAAAGCTTAAAATTCCAGAATGACTTCATGTTTCACATACAGGGCATGCTGATGCAAGAGGTGGACTCCCATGGTTTTGGGTGGCTCTGCCTCTGTGGCTTTGCAGGGTACAGACCCCCTCCCAGCTGCTTTCTTGGGCTGGCATTGAGTGCCTGCAGCTTTTCCAGGAGCACAGTGCAAGCTGTCAGTTGATCTACCATCCAGGGTCTGGAGGACAGTGGCCCTCTTCCCACAGCTCCACTAGGCAGTGCCTCAGTGAAGGCTCTGTGTGGGGTCTCCAACCCAACATTTTCCTTCTGCACTGCCCTAGCAGAGGTTTTCCCTAAGGACTCCACCCTGTAGCAAACTTCTGCCTGGAAATCCAGGTGTTTCCATAAATCCTCTGAAATCTCTGTAGAGGTTCCCAAATCTCAATTCTTGACTTCTGTGCACCTGCAGGCTCAACACCACGTGTAAACTGCCAAGGCACAGGGATTGCAACCTCTGAAGCAATGGCATGAGCTGTACATTGTCCCCTTTTTGCCACAGCTGGAGCTGAAGCAGGTGGGACACAGGGCACCATGTCCTGAGGCTGCATAGAGCAGCAGGGTCCTAGGCCCAGCCAATAATACAATTTTTCCCTCATAGGCCCCTGGGCCTGTGATGGGAGTGGCTCCGTGAAGGTCTCTGATGTGCCCTGGAGACATTTTCCCCATTTTCTTGGTGATTAACATTAGGCTCCTCATTACTAATGCGGATTTCTGTAGTGGGCTTGGATTTCTCCCCAGAAAAAATGGGTTTTTCTTTTTTATGGCATCGTCAGGCTGCAAAATTTTCAAACTTTTATGCTCTGCTTCCTCTTGAATGTTTTGCTGCTTAGAAATTTCTTCTGCCAGATACATTAAATCATCTCTCTCAAGTTCGAAGTTCCACAGATCTCTAAGGCAGGGGCAAAATGCCACCCGTTTCTTTGCATAGCAAGATTCACTCTTACTCCAGTTCTCAACAAGCTCTTCATCTCCATCCAAGACTACCTCAGCCTGAACTTCATTGTCATATCACTATCAGTGTTTTGGTCAAAGCCACTCAACAAGTCTCTAGGAAGTTTCAAGCTTTCTCACATCTTCCTGTCTTCTGAGGCCTCCAAGTCTCTAGGAAGTTCCAAACTTCCCCACATGTTCCTGTTTTCTTTTGAGCCCTCTAAACTGT
Organism: Homo sapiens; assembly: GCF_000001405.40. NCBI lineage: Eukaryota > Metazoa > Chordata > Mammalia > Primates > Hominidae > Homo > Homo sapiens. The sequence continues at coordinate 164,728,159 of NC_000006.12, read as the reverse complement.
TCCAAACTCTGCCTGTTACCCAGTTCCAAAGTCACTTCTACATTTCGGGTATCTTTACAGCAATGCCCCACTGTCTGTAGTACCAATTTACTGTATTCGTCCATTCTCATGCTGCTATAAAGAACTGCCCAAGACTGGATAATTTATAAAGGAAAGAGGTTTAATTGACTCACACTTCAGCATGGCTGGGGAGATCTCAGGAAACTTATAATCATGGCAGAAAAGAAAGCAAACATGGCCTTCTTCACATGGTGGCAGGGGAGAGAAGTGCTAAGCAAAGGGGTAAAACCCCATCAGATCTCATGAGTACTCACTCACTATTACAAGAACAGCATGAGGGTAACCATCCCCATGATTCAATTACCTCCCATCAGGTCTCTCCCACGACACTTGGAGATTATGAGAACTATGATTCGAGATGAGATTTGGGTGGGGACACAGCTAAACCATATCAATGAAATATGCAACAAACGTATTAAATTGACTTATTAATTCTAATAGTTTGCAGAGTATCTTGAATTTTGTAGATACAGGATAATGTCTTTTGCAAGTGCTGACATGTTTTTTTCTTTCTAAACTTATGTGTCAGTAACTGGAGGAAAAACTGCTTAACTCACAGTGTAGTTTGAGAATTAACTTAGGTATGCTTCGGTATTATTACTCTTACTTGCTAAGTATAATCTTCATGGCCCAAGCTTTCCAATACTCCCTAGTATTGTGGGAGTATTGAAGGTCTTGCTCCCTGAGATATTCTGATCTGAGCGTAGTGTGGGCCATGATCCCAACCCCTGCAACCTACAGCTATTGTTCTGAGTTGCTCCCAGGATGTTTTTTGAAGCCCATGGGGCAATGACCCTTTCTAAACTGTAAATACACAAGGGTGTTTGTTGTTTCTTAATTTCAAGGAGAGACCACATTTTGTATACACAAGACTTGCAGAGTGTTTGTGTGTGTGCATGTGTGTACACGTGTGTGTGTATGTACTCTGATATTTTCAAAACAAAACATGAGAAATATAAATCCTAAGCTAAGAATGATGATTACTTATTAGGAAAATAGGGCTGAAGGGGGGTGGGAGGAAATGAAGACACTTCTGTGTATACCTTAAATGACAGCATGAGAAGATATCTATATGAATCAAAAATGTAAGCTTTTCTTTAAGAAAACTGGCTTACTCTCCATAAAAAGTCACTATCATGGAAACACAGAAAGATAGAAAGATTTCACACTGCATGAGGTGAAAAAATCATAAATGTAGAATTAAATCCAGTTTGATAAAAGTTATTAAAATATATTTTTATAACAATTTGGGAAAGTTAAATATAAAATAGGCATTAGAGTACTAGTAGGGAATTGTTATTAGTTTTTGTATGTGTATTAATGATATTGCAGTAATGCAAGAGAAAGGTGTATTTGAAGACAAATGCTGAAACATTTAGAGATGAATGGTTGCAATGTCTGTAACTGAATTTCAAATTGTTTAGATAAACAAACATATATATTAGAAAACAAATCTGTTAAAATCTTAACAAGTTTTGATCCAATGTGTTTATGTATGGATATTCATTGTAATATTTTTCAGCTTTTCTCTATGAGAATTTTTTCATAATAAAAAAGTTAGAAATGCTCAATCTAAATACATCCATCCATAAGGACAGATGAAGAAACGTACACACATACACACATTAGTCATTGTGGTACACTAGAGTATATCGCACATCTATGAAAAAAGTGAATTAACTCAACTGCAAAGTAACATCATTTCAAACGCAATAAACTGACAGAATGGAACCATGCAGCTACTCATTCTGGAGTGCCAGGGAGGATTATAGGTTTTCCTTTGTGAAAACTGGTGCTGCTTTCATCATTTAGCTTTGGAACTTTAGGATGGTGGAATACCAGGAATGGGGAGTTGGGATTAACTGACATCTTCCTTTCCAGCATTGGCCTGCTCTCCACATCAATACCCACAAGAAGATAAAAACTTTGGTCCCTAGGCATGAGCATGGAGGTGGGCAAATGATATGTGCCAATCACCGTTGGGTTATATCTAACGTAGAGCTCTAAATATAAATAAACTAGTTAGTCCTTGGCTTTCTTTTTTTCTGGACTTAAAGATTCTATACTTTAAAACGTTGATTCAAATACTTTAGAAAAGTTCGAAACATTCTATTATTATATAAGAATACTATAGATTTTCCTGGTCATTATTTTATATACTTATTTATTAACAGCAATGATACACATTGTAGAAAGTCCAAAAATTCTCTTAGCTTAAAAACCAACAAGCACACCAGCAATAATGATCAAAATCAACTTTTTCAAAATTCTGGAGATGAACTAAAGGCTTGCAAAATTCCAGAAAATGTTTCTTCATAAAAATATTTATATTTTCTCAACATTTGCTTGTCTGTAAAGTATTTTATTTCTCCTTCACTTATGAAGCTTAGTTTGGCTGGATATGAAATTCTGGGTTGAAAATTCTTCCTTTAAGAATGTTGAATATTGGCCCCCACACTCTTCTGGCTTGTAGAGTTTCTGCCAAGAGATCTGCTGTTAGTCTGATGGGCTTCCCTTTGTGGGTAACCCGACCTTTCTCTCTGGCTGCCCTTAATATTTTTTCCCTCATTTCAACTTTGGTGAATCTGACAATTATGTGTCTTGGAGTTGCTCTTCTCGAGGAGTATCTTTGTGGCATTCTCTGTATTTCCTGAATCTGAATGTTGGCCTGCCTTGCTAGATTGGAGAAGTTCTCCTGGATAATATCCTGCAGAGTGTTTTCCAACTTGGTTCCATTGTCCCCGTCACTTTCAGGTACACCAATCAGACGTAGATTTGGTCTGTTCACATAGTCCCATATTTCTTGGAGGCTTTGTTCATTTCTTTTTATTCTTTTTTCTCTAAACTTCCCTTCTCGCTTCATTTCATTCACTTCATCTTCCATCGCTGATACCCTTTCTTCCAGTTGATCGCATCGGCTCCTGAGGCTTCTGCATTCTTCACGTAGTTCTCGAGCCTTGGCTTTCAGCTTTATCAGCTCCTTTAAGCACTTCTCTGTATTGGTTATTCTAGATATACATTCGCCTAAATTTTTTTCAAAGTTTTTAACTTCTTTGCCTGTTTGCAGATGACATGATTGTATATCTAGAAAACCCCATTGTCTCAGCCCAAAATCTCCTTAAGCTGATAAGCAGCTTCAGCAAAGTCTCAGGATACAAAATCAATGTACAAAAATCACAAGCATTGTTATACACCAATAACAAACAGAGAGCCAAATCATGAGTGAACTCCCATTCACTATTGCTTCAAAGAGAATAAAATATCTAGGAATCCACCTTACAAGGGAAGTGAAGGACCTCTTCAAGGAGAACTACAAACCACTGCTCAATGAAATTAAAGAGGATACAAACAAATGGAAGAACATTCCATGCTCATGGATAGGAAGAATCAATATCGTGAAAATGGCCATACTGCCCAAGGTAATTTATAGATTCAATGCCATCCTCATCAAGCTACCAATGACTTTCTTCACAGAATTGGAATAAAACTACTTTAAAATTCATATGAAACCAAAAAAGAGCCCGCATCGCCAAGTCAATCCTAAGCCAAAAGAACAAAGCTGGAGGCATCATGCTACCTGACTTCAAACTATACTACAAGCCTACAGTAACCAAAACAGCATGGTACTGGTACCAAAACAGAGATATAGATCAATGGAACAGAACAGAGCCCTCAGAAATAATGCCACATATCTACAACTATCTGATTTTTGACAAACCTGAGAAAAACAAGTAATGGGGAAAGGATTCCCTATTTAATAAATGGTGCTGGGAAAACTGGCTAGCCATATGTAGAAAGCTGAAACTGGATCCCTTCCATACACCTTATACAAAAATTAATTCAAGATGGATTAAAGACTTAAATGTTAGACCTAAAACCATAAAAACTCTAGAAGAAAACCTAGGCATTACCATTCAGGACATAGGCACGGGCAAGGACTTCATGTCTAAAACACCAAAAGCAATGGTAACAAAAGCCAAAATTGACAAATGGGATCTAATTATACTAAAGAGCTTCTGCACAGCAAAAGAAACTCTCAGCAGAGTGAACAGGCAACCTACAGAATTGGAGAAAATTTTTGCAATCTATCCATCTGACAAAGGGCTAATATACAGAATCTACAATGAACTCAAACAAATTTACAAGCAAAAAACAAACGACCCCATCAAAAAGTGGGTGAAGGACATAAACAGACACTTCTCAAAAGAAGATATTTATGCAGCCAAAAAACACATGAAAAAATGCTCACCATCACTGGCCATCAGAGAAATGCAAATCAAAACCACAATGAGCTATCATCTCACACCAGTTAGAATGGCAATCATTAAAATGTCAGGAAACAACAGGTGCTGGAAAGGATGTGGAGAAATAGGAACACTTTTACACTGTTGGTGGGACTGTAAACTAGTTCAACCATTGTGGAAGTCAGTGTGGCGATTCCTCAGGGATCTAGAACTAGAAATACCATTTGATCCAGCCATCCCATTACTGGGTATATACCCAAAGGACTATAAATCATGCTGCTATAAAGACACATGCACACGTATGTTTATTGCGGCACTATTCCCAATAGCAAAGACTTGGAACCAACCCAAATGTCCAACAATGATAGACTGGATTAAGAAAATGTGGCACATATACACCATAGAATACTATGCAGCCATAAAAAATGATGAGTTCATGTCCTTTGTAGGGACATGGATGAAATTAGAAATCATCATTCTCAGTAAACTATCGCAAGAACAAAAAACCAAACACCGCATATTCTCACTCATAGGTGGGAATTGAACAATGAGAACACATGGACACAGGAAGGGGAACATCACACTCTGGGGACTGTGGTGGGGTGGGGGGAGGGGGGAGGGATAGCATTGGGAGATATACCTAATGCTAGATGACGAGTTAGTGGGTGCAGCGCACCAGCATGTCACATGTATACATATGTAACTAACCTGCACATTGTGCACATGTACCCTAAAACTTAGAGTATAATAATAAAAAAAATTTATATTTTCTTAAGAATAGTGAACTTTGCTGTATTTTTATCAGCCATAGTCCCATATTTTCTCCCAAGTCTCAGAGTAGGCTTGAAAATTAGTAGTCCTCAGACATAGTGAAAACCAGCAGCCAAACAGCCTCATGATGGGACAGAAATGGGCTAGACCTTCTACAAATCCCAGTTCCTATATATGTGTTATTATTTGACTGTCAGGTATTTCTTTGGAAAGCCACACTCATAAGATTTGTCTTTATTTGAACTGACTTATAGCTCACTCTGTGGAAACAGTCTTTTGTTCCTGGGGGTGTTTGTTGGAAAAAACCAACAGCAATTAAATTAATATTGCAGCTGCCAGCATAGGTAATAACAATTGGGAAAAGCAATGAACTGAACAAAAAGCTTAAAAGAAAAAGGAGAGTGAGATGAGATGTTCACAGGGGGCTTTAAAAAGCTCTAAAATATTCTTAAGAATCTAGAAGGCCATAATCACTTGTTCAGCATTGCACTTGAACAAGGCTGTGTACACTCCTGGAAAAGACCCAAGGAAGCCCTAAGCTTTCACCTGTAGTTGACCTTGAGGTCTTGTGCAAAAAAACAGTGAAAACCCAAGTAGAATTGTAAACTGTATGTATGCCTGACAATTGAAGGTGTGCCTCAATATATACACAGAGCCCCCAGCAAAAGCTGATTCTGGACAGTTCTCTGTCTAATCATCTGACAATTAAGTCAGCTTCAGTGGATACAAATAAAAAAATATGTATTACATAAGTTAGAACCAATAGCAATAAGAAAAAGAACAACAATAACCAACAACAAAAACAAATCCTGAGAATAAAGTGATATGATTACCAAAGTTGCTATATATTATGTAGAAAGTCCAGTCTCAACAAAAATTTATGAGATATCAAAGAAACAAAAAAATATGGTTCATACAAAAGAAGAAAGTAGAAACTGTCCCTAAGAAGGCTCAAGCTTTGGACTTACTATACAAATAATTTTAAAGCATATATTTTAAATATTTTCAAATGCTAAGGGAAAAATTTCCTAAAGAACTAATAAAATGGCATCTTACCAAAAATAGAATATCAAAAAAGACATATAAATTATTTTTAAAATGTGGTAATTCTGTAGTTGAAATGTACAATATCTGAAATAAAAAATTAACTGTAGGAACACAAAAGTCAATTTGTGTTGGCAAAGAAAAAAACTATGTTGTTTTAAATTAAAGTCTTAATTATAGTAAACAAGCTAATACTAAAACAATCTAAAAATATAGCAAAATAAATGATGAGGAAATAAAATGCTTCAATGGAAAATATCTATTTAACATAAAAGAATGGAAATGAAACAAGATATAAGACATATTGAAGGCAAACAGCAGAATGGAACACGTATAGACAATCTTGGTTAATTATATTAAATGTAAATGGATTAAACCCTTTAATGAATAGGCAGAGATTGCCAAAATGGATTAAAAAGAAAACCACTCCCGTTATGCTATCTACAAGAGACATACTTTAGATTTAGTGACACAGATACGTTGAAAGGAAAAGATATACCTTGCAAACAGAGCTGGAGTGGTTTAAAACCAGATAAAATAGACTTCAAGACGAAAATTGTTGCTAGAAGCAAAGAAGGATATTTTATGAAGATAAATGGACCAAATCTTCAATAATATAAAAATTTAAAACATATATGCATTTAAAAACAGTGGCCCAAAATGCATGAAGAAAAAACTGACAGAAATGAAAGGAAGATAAGCTATTCATCAGTAGGTGTTAGGGAATTCAATACCCTACTTTCAATAATAAATAGAAAAACCAAACAGAAGATCAATGGAGAAACAGAACACATGAATGACACTAGAAACAATTAGACCTATGAGCCATTGATAGAATATTTCACCTCAAAATAAAAGACTACATATTCTCTTTGACTTGAACATTTAATGTTGAACATTCTACAACATAGACCATAAATTAAGCCATAAAACAAGTCTCAACCAATTAAAAAGGACTAAAATCATTAAAATTTGCTCTTTGGCCACAGTGGAATAAAACTGGAGATCAAAAAAATTTTTGGAAATTCACAATATGTAAAAGTTAACATAATGCTAAATCACAAATGGATCAAAGAATAAATCACAAAAGAAATTTAAAAATATTTTTATGTTAATGAAGACGAAAACACAAGATACACTTACAGGATGCAAAGTAATGCTTAGATGGAAATATATAGCTGTAAATATCTATATTAAAAAAGAATAAATATCTTAAATGAATAACCTAATTTTGTATCTGAATAAACTAGAAAAAGGGAAGAAGCTAAACCCAAGGCAAGCAAAAAGAAGGAAATAGTAAATAATTGGTTGTAAATAAATGAAATCGAAAACAATAGAGAAAAATCAATGATACCAAAAGTTAGTATTTTGAAAAGATCAACAAAATTGACAAACCTTTATCTAGAAAACCCAGAAAAAAAAAGACGTAAATTAGTAAAATCAAAAATGAAACAGTTGCAATTACCACCAGCCTTAAAAAAATAAAGAGATATTAAGTTATTATTCTGAACAATTGCTTGTTAATAAATTAGATAACTTCAAATAAACGGACAAATTTCTGGAAAGACACAAACTACTAAAGTTAACTAAAAAATAGAAAACCCCATTAGACTTACAAAAATAAAACAGATGTAATGACTAATTAAAATCTTCCTCCACATACACCCACACAAAGTCCCGGTCCAGTTAGCTTTACTGTTGAATTCTACCAAATGATTAAGGAAGAACTAACACTAATCTTTCAAACGATTCTAAAAAATATAAGATAAAATAATCTAGTTTATTTTATGAGGTCATTATTGTCATCCCAAAGCCAGACAAATAACACAAAAAATATACAGAATGATATGCCTTATGAATCACAAACTATCTTCAACAAAATACCATAAAATTGAACGCAGCTGCATACTGATTTGCCTTTCTCTGATGACACATGACGCAGAATACCTTTCCATATGCTTATTTGCCATCTATATACTTTGTTTGGTGAGGTATCTCTTAAGGTCTTTGCCCCATTTTTTAATTGGGTTTTTCATTTTCTTATTGTTGGGTTTTAAGTATTCTTCGTATATTTTGGATAACAGTGCTTTAGAAGATACGTTTTTTAAAAATAGTTTTTGCCAGTTTGTGGCCTGTCTTCTCACTGTCTTGCAAAGAAGAAATTTTTAATTTTAATGAAGCCCACTTTATCAATTTTTCACTCATTCGGTGCTGTTTTTAAAAGTCATTAACAAACATTAGGTCATCTAGATTTCCTACTGTCATATCTTCTAGGAAATTTAGTTATAGTTAATTTTTGTCAAGTATAATGTCTGTGTCTACATTCACTTTTTGCATGTGGATGTTCATTTATTCTCATATCATTTATTGAAAAGACAATCTGTTATTCAATGTATTACCTTTTCTACTTTATCAAAGATGTTGATTTTATTTACGTGGGTATATTTCTAGACTCTCTATTCTGTTCCGGAGATCTATTTGTTAATTCTTTCACAAATATCACATTGTTTCTCTATTCTGTTCCAGATATCTATTTGTTTATTCTTTCACAAATATCAAATTGTCTTGATTAGTATAGGTTGACCATAGTACGGCTTGAAGTCAGGTAATGTCAGTCCTCTGACTTATTCTTTTTCAATACTGTGTTGGTTAGTCAGGATTGTTTTCATCTTCATATAAACTTTAGAATAAGTTTGTTAGTATCCACAAAATAACTTACTGGAATTTTGACCAGATCATGTTAAATCTACAGATCATGTTAGAATAACTGACATCTTAACAATATTGAGACTTCCTGTTTATGAACATGGAATATCTCTATATTCAGTTATTTGATTTATTTCATCTGGGTTTTACTTTTTCTCACATAGGTCTTGTATATATTTTGGTAGATTTATACCTAAGTGCTTCATAGTTGAGGGGGTGCTAATGTAAATTGTATTATGTTTTTAATTTCAAATTCCACTTATTCATTGTTAGTATATAGGAAAGTGATTGACTTTTGCGTATTAACCTTGGATACTGCAACCTTGCCATAATTGCTTATTAGTTACAAGTATTTGTCTGTCTTTGCAGATCCTTTTAGATTTTTATAATAGACCACCATGTCATCTGTGAACAAATGGTTTTATTTTTCTTCTTTTTTTTCAATAGTTATTTTTTTTTTAAATTTCAGGTTACATGTGCAGGATATGCAGGTTTCCCTAATGCTCTCCACTGCCCCCCACCCCGCAACCCTCCCCTGACAGGCCCCAGTAAGTTTTGTTCCCCTCTCTGTGTCCAAGTGTTCTCATTGCTCAGATCCCACTTACAAGTGATAACATGTGGTGTTTGGTTTTCTGTTCCTGAGTTAGTTTCCTGAGGATGATGGCTTCCAGCTTCATCCATGTCCCTGCAAAGGACATGATCTCGTTCTTTTTTATGGCTGCATAATACTCCATGGTGCATATGTACCACATTTTCTTTATCTAGTCTCTCAGTGATGGGGATTGGGGTTGATTCCATGTCTTCACTATTGTGAATAGTGCTGCAATGAACATACGCATGCATCCATCTTTATAAAGGAATGATTTATTCCTTTGAGTACATACCCAGTAATGGGATTGCTGGGTCAAATAGTATTTATGGTTCTAAATCTTTGAGGATTTGCCACACTGTCTTCCACAGTGGTTGAACTAATTTACATTCCCACCAACAGTGTAAAAGGGTTTTTATTTCTCCTCAACCTCCCCAGCATCTGTTTTTTCTTGACTTTTTAATAATCACCATTCTGACTGGAATGAAATGGTATCTCATTTTGGTTTTGACTTGCATTTCTCTAATGATCAGTGATGTTGAGCTATTTTTCATGTTTCTTTCTTTCTATTCTGTATACCTTTTACTTCCTTTTTCCCCCTTATTCCATTAGCTAGGATTTCCAGTGTGATGTTGAAAAGCAGTGGGAAGAGGAAACCCCCACCTTGCCTTGTTTCTGATCTCAGTAGGGAAACTTCAGGTTTCTCACCATTAAGTATCATGTTATTTGTAGGATTTTTTCTATTCTTTATCACGTTGGGTAGGTCCCCTTTATTCCTAGTTTACTGAGGGTTTTTTTTTAAACCATGAATGGCTGTTGGTTTTATCAAATGCATTTTTCTACATCTATTGATATAATTTTTCTTCTTTATCCTATTGATGTGATTAATTATATTAAATTATTTTCTAATGTTTAATCAGCTTTGCAGACCTGGAATAAACCTCACTTGGTTGTAATGCATATTTATATATATATATTTGGATATGATTTGCTAATATTTCATTGAGAATTTTTGCATCTATATTCATGATAGATATTCATCTGTAGTTTTCTTTTCCTGTAATGTCTTTGTCTGGTTTTTATATTCAGGTAATTCTAGTTTCATAGAATGAGTTAGGAAGTATTTACTCTGCTTCCTTTTTCTGAAAGAGAATGTAGAAAATCAGTATAATTTCTGGTTTAAATGTTTGGTGGAATTCACCAGTGAACTCAGGTGGGCCTGGTGACTTCAGTTTAGGAAGGTTATAAATTATTGATTCAATTTCTTTAATAGATATAGGCTTATTCAGATTGTTTATTTGTTCTTGTAAGAGTTTGGTGGATTGTATCTTTTAAGGGATTTGTCTGTCTCATCTAGGTTATCGAATTTGTGGGAATATATTTTTTCACAGTATTTTTAAAATTATTATCCTTTTAATGCGCATGGGTTATGTAGTGATATTTTATCTTTGACTTTTCATACAATAGTTAGTGTTCTCTTTTTTTTATAATTACCCTGGCTAGAGCCTTATCAATTACAATGATCTTCTCAAATAACTATCTTTTGGTTTCATTGATTTTCTCTATTGATTTCTTATTTTCAGTTTCACTGATTTATGTTCTGTTTTTTTTTTATTTCTTTTCTTTGCTGACTTTCTATTTAATTCACTCTTCTTTTTCTAATTTTTGAAGCTGGATGATTAGGTGGTTAATTTTAGATCTTTTTTTCAAATTTATACATTCAATAATATAATTTTCCTTCTAAGAAGTGCTTTCTCTATACATCACATTTTGACTAGTTGTGTTTTCAGTTTCATTTAGTTCAAAATATTTTACAACTTCTCTTGCAATTTCTTCTTTGACCCACACATTATTTAAACGTGTGTTGTTTAATTTTCTAAGTATTTTGGGATTTTTCAGTTATTTTTCTGCTGTTGATTCCTATTTTCATTCCATCGTGGTATCAGAGCAGGCATTGTAAAACTGCAATTCTTTTACATTTATTAAGGTATGCTTTGTATCCTAATAAGAGGTCTATATTGGTGAATGTTCCATGTGAGCTTGAGAAGAATAACTATTCTGCTCTTGTTGGGAAAAGTAGTGGTTAGATGTCCCTAATATCCAGTTGATTGGTGGTGATCTCGAGTTCAACAATGTACTGGATGAATTTTTACCTGCTGGCTCTGTCCATTTCTGATAGATGGGTGCTGAAGTTCCCAACAATAAAAGTGGATTAATCTATTTCTTATTGCAGGTCTATCAGTTTTTGCCTCATCTGTTTTGATGCTCTGTTGTGAGGCCCATATACATTAAGGACTATTATGTCATCTTAGAAAATTCACCTCTTTATCACCAAGTAATGCCCCTCATTATCACTGATAACCTCCCTTGTTATGAAGTCAGCTCTGTCTAAAATTAATATAGCTACTTCTACTTTCTTTTAATTAGCACCAACATGGTATATTTTTCTCCATCCATTTATGTTTAATTTATATGTGTCTGTATTTAAAGTGAGTTTCTTGTAGAAAACGTATAGTTGGGTCTTGTTTTTTAATCTACTCTGACCACCTCTGTCTTTTATTCTTTTAATTGGTATGTTTGTACTATTGATATTCAACGTGATGCTGATAAATGTACCAGATTTCTTACTGTTTACCATTTGTTGCTTTGTTCTTTGTTCCTAGATTAATCTTTTACATTTTTTTCTGCCTTTTGTGATTTTAATTGAGAATTTTACATGATTCCATTCTCTCCTCTCTTAGCATATCAGTTGTACTTCATTTCTGCTTTTTAAATGGTTATTTTAGCGCTTGTAATATGCTTTTACAATCAATCCAAATCCACTTTAAAAAACACTATACCAGTTCACAGGCAGTGTGAGGACCTTGTAATAACAAAATAATCCTACTTTTTCTTTTATTTCTCTTGTATCAATGCTGTCATTAATTTCACTTATATATAAATATATGCATATATATATATACACACACACATACAGACACATAAGCTTACATAATTAAATGTATTGTGGCTGTTACTATTTTGAACAAACTCTTACCTGTTTGATCAATTAAGAATAAGAAAATAAGAGTTTTCATTTTACCTTCACTTATTCCTGTTCTGATGCCCTTCCTTTTTTTGAGTCGATAAAAGTTTATGACCTATAATATTATTTCCTTTTCTCTGAAGGACTTATTTTGACATTCCTTGAAGGGCACGCCTACTGGCAATATATTCCCTAAATTTTTATTTAATCTGAGAAAGCTTTTCTTCACTTTTGAAGAATAATTTCACACTGCACAGAAAACCAGGTTGGGGTACTTTTCTTTCAACATTTAAAATATGTCACTCTTTATTCTTCTTGCTTGCATGGCTTCTGAAGAGAATCAGAGGTAATTCTTACCTTTGTTCCTCTATAGTGAAGATGGGTATTTCTTCTGGCTTCTTTTAGGATTTTTTTCTTACGTTTAATTTTTTGTACTTTGAAAATGATATTTGCCATTGCTGTTTTTCTGGTATTTATCTTGCTTCTATTTTTTGAGCTTCCTGAATCTGTGGTTTGGTGTCTGACATTAATTTGAGGAAATACTCAGTTTTTCCACAACTCAGATTGTTGTCTCAAAAATTATTTTCTCCATCTTTTCTCTTTCTCTTTTTCTTCTTCTGCTATTTTCATTACACATGCATTACTTATACCTTATGTAGTTTCCCCATAGTTCTTAGCTATTCTGTTCTGTTTTTGTCTGTTTTTCAGTATCTTTCTCCTTGCTTTTCAGTTATGGAGGTTTCTATTTATATATACTTGATATGGGTTTGGCTGTGTCCACACCCAAATCTCACCTTGAATTGTAGCTCCCACAACTCCCATGTGTCATTGGAGGGACCCAGTAGGAGGTAATTGAATCATGGGGGCAAGTCTTTCCTGTGCTGTTCTCATGATAGTGAATAAGTCTCATGAGATCTGATGGTGTTAAAAAGAGGAGTTCCCCCACACAAGCTCTCTCTGTTTGCCTGCTGCCATCCATGTAAGACGTGATTTGCTCTTCCTTGCCTTCTGCCATGATTGTGAGGCTTCCCCAGCCACGTGGAACTGGGAGTCAAATTAAACCTCTTTCTTTTGTAAATTGCTCAGTTTCAGGTATGCCTTTATCAATAGCATGAAAAAGGACTAATACAATTCTTAAGCTCATATATTTTTTTTTCTTCAGCCATGTCCAGTCTTCTAATAACCCCATCAAAGGCATTCTTTATGTCTGTTACAGTGTTTTGATTTCTAGCATTTCTTTTTGGCACTTCTTTGAATTTCCATCTCTCTGCTTACATTGCCAACTTATTCTTACAGGCTGTTTACTTTATCGATTAGAACCCTTAGCATAGTTATCACAGACATTTTAGATCCCCAGTCTGATGATTCCAACAACTCTGCCATATCTGAGCCTGGTTTTGATGCTTACTGTGTGTCTTTGAACTACCTTTTGCCTGTTAGTGTCTTGTAATTTTTTCTTGAATGCTGAACATGATATCCTGGGTAAAAGGAACTGCTGTAAACAGGTCTTCAATAATATTGTAGTAAGGCAGCAGGGGTAATCTTTCTATAGCACTATAATCAGGACTCAGTCTTTCAGAAAGCCTGCTTCACTGAACTGTGAAGTTTACAAGTGCATCTCTTCCCACCCTTAGGTGGAACAGGATGGTTGGCATGGGCTGGAGTTGGCTGGCACACTTCTCCCAGGTCTGTTAGGCTCTGACAAACCCCAGCAGGTTAGGCTCTCAATAAATACTTTCTCCTGAGGGTAGGCCTTTGTGAGATGAACGAAAGACTCTGGTGTATTTTTAAAATGATTTCTTTTCCCCTCTCTCTATCAGATAACTTGAGGGGACTTTTTTCCAATATTCATTGTGAGAACCTGAAAAAGCTCCACAAGGTCAAATTCACAAAACTGTCAGGGTCTCCCGGGGACGCGGTCTCCCTGAAATTCTAATTTCTTCAATTTGTCCACCATGGACCTCCAGGAGTTTGTCAGTTACAGTTTAGTTTTCTCTAGCCCAGCATTGGTTCCTGAGGGGGTGTATTAGTCTGTTCTCACATTGCTGTAGGGAACTACCTGGTAGTTTATGAAGAAAAGATGTGTAGTTGACTCAATAGTTTCTCAGGCTGTGCAGGAAACATGACTGGGGAGGCTTTAGGAAATTTACAATCATGGTGGAAGGTGAAGGGGAAGCAGGCATGTCTTCACATGGCAGAGAAGGAGGGAGAGAATGGGGAGGTGCTACACGCTTTTAAACAACCAAATCTCATGAGAACTCACTCACTATCACAGGAACAAGGGGGAAGTTCACCCCCATGATTCAATAACCTCCCATCAGGCCCTTTTTCCGACACTGGGAATTACAATTTGACATGAGATTTGGGTGGGGACAGAGAGCCAAACCATATCAGGAGGTTTCTGCTCAGGGGTATCTGCTCTGGTCAGTTGTCGTTCTCTGTATTTGCCTGTCAGTCTCTCCAAATGTGGGGGCAGCAGGTGGCCCTGTGACCTCACTGCTCTTAAAGACCTAAGAATAATTGTTAATTTTTTAGTTTCTTCAGCTTTTTACTTGTTGTTGAGATAGAATGGTAACTTCCCAGTTATTTACATGCCAAACCAAAAACTGGAACTCTCTCTGCCACTTTTAACAGATAATCTTGATAGATACCTAATTCTAGATGGGTGATTTTTATCTTTCAAAAAGTTAAGTATTTTTCTCTACTCTCTTTTTTCTTGTTTGATAAAAGGGAGTCTAATTCTGTATATGTAGAATGTCTCATTCCTCTGACTTCTTTCAATATTCTATCTTTGTCTTTGATTTCCTACAGTTTATACCTATGTGTGTGTGTATACACAAATTACATATATACACATATATGTAATGGTTTTCTATATAATTTGTATTTATCCTGCTTGTTGTTCTCTGAGCTTTCTCAATTTGGTTTGGTTTGGTGTCTTTCTCTAATTTTAGAAAATTTTCCATAATTATTACTTCAAATTTTATTCAGACTTTTTTTTAATTTATTCAAATTTTTGTCTGTTTGTTTCTTCTCCTTGTGGTGTTACCATTATGAATGTTTTGCACCTTTTGTAATTGTCTCACAGTTCTGGAATATTCTGTTTTATCTCTTAATTAGCCTTTGCCTTTCACTTTCAGAAGCTTCTACTGACTTACATTCAAACTCCCTGGGTCTTTTCTTGGTCATATCCAGTCTACGGCTGAGCCTCTCCAAGGCATTCTTCATTTCTATTACAGTGTTTTTTATTTCTACCATTTCTGTTTGATTCTTTATTATAGTTTTTATCTTTCTGCTTACATTTCCCATCTGTTGTTTTTCACGTTGTTCACTTTTCCATTAGAGCCCTTAGCAGATAAATCACAGTTGTCTAAAACTCCTGGTCTGATCATTCCAAAACTCTGCCATGTTTGTCTGGTGGTGGTGCCTATTCTGTCTCTTCCAGTTATTGTTCTTTAATCTTTAAATATGCCCTTGTAGTTATTTGTTGATAGTCAGACATGATGATGGCTGCATTAAGCAACTCAAGTAAACCAGGCTTTAGCTTGGGGTTTTGTGTTTAAATGGCTGTGAATTAGGCAGTGTTTGCTGTTTTCTGTAGCTGTCTGTCATAGGAAAAAATTTCCTCTTCTGTCCTTGTTTCTGTCTCCTGTGTCATACTTGGGTTCCCTACAGACTTCTTAAATAAGGTCTGAAACATGCGCTTCTTTCTGTTGTATTCTCCCTGGTGTCAGCTCCAGTAGCAGTTTCTGCTCCTGGGCTTCTGCTCTGGTAATCTGTGATTCCCCGTCTGTCTATCTCGTCTCTAATTTGGGGAGCAGTGGTTTATCCTGTGACCCCAATTCTCCCATGGAGCCAAGAAGAGTTGTTGATTTTCAGTTTATTCAGCTTTCTCTTATTGTTATGAAAACAAGATTGATGATTTTAAAGCTTCTTATATGCCAGATCAGATTAGGACCAGTTCTGAATATTCAGCAGAGAGTATTCAAAGAGTTCAACCTGCAATTTGAATCACATCTAAAATTCTTACAGTTAAACCTAACTTTCTAAGTAGTGATCAGAACACCTTTTCTTTCAATGTTCCAGTTATTTACTGAGAAGAAATATAATATCTTAATAATTCCCACTACAATGCAACTTCTCAGAATGTATCCAAATGATCTTTTCTTGATTTTTCATAACACACTCAAATATTCTTTTGTCATATTATACTCACTGTAAAATCAGACTTTCAATAAACTTTGGAAAAACAGAAGATATAAAAACATTATTATCAAGCAAGTTAAAAAGGGCTCAAATAGCATGTTAAGTCCCACTTTCTGACCTATGTGACTCCAGTTATCACTATGCATGACCTTTTCTTGGATTAGAAGACAGAGTCACTTGCGAAGTGAGAGGGGCGAGTATTGCGGGCCTGGATTTGAGCCCTGTGCCATGGCTTTACATTGCTCTGTTTGCTGGATGCTTAAATCTTAGCCATGTATTGAATTGAGATAAAATTCATGAACTCTTGCTCAACTTTAATATTACCATTTCTCCAATAAAATTAATTTCAAACGTTATTAATAATTACAATTCTTTTTTACAGTGAGTTTTAAATGCTACCACCTCTGATGGGGCTGATTTCTGATTAGAGTATTTTTAAACCTTGACCAGTGGTTCTATGCAGTAGATTAAATTTGCACATACACATCACAGTGATACGGACAGGAGACAGGGAGATACTGGGTAGAATAGGGCTGTACCCTGGCAAAGGCCCCACCCTCAAGCCTGAAGACCCCGGCCCTAAATGAGGAGAAGGATTTCTATTTTCATGCTCAAAAAGTTGCCTTTTGACTCGCCACACCCCCTATCCTGCCCCCATGTAAAATTGAGACCTTAGCGGGCACTCACACAAGCAGCTAAACATCGGGACCAGCAGACCAGTGATGCAGAACAAGGCAGAGAAAGAGAGAAGAGGAAGGACGTCTGGACGCCAAGCGGAGTTCAGCCAGGGGTGGTCAGGAAAGAGTCCAGCTGCCGAGTGGCCCCATTCCAGGGGAAGACCACCTTCCCACTCCATCCCCCACTTCCAGCTCCCCATCCACCTCACTGAGAGCCACCCCCACCACTCAGCACTCCATCCCCCACTTCTGGCTCCCCATCCATCTCCCTGAGAGCCACCCCCACCACTCAGCACTCCATCCCCCACTTCCGGCTCCCCATCCATCTCCCTGAGAGCCACACCCACCACTCAGTAAAACCTTGCACTCATCTTTCAAGCCCACATGTGATCTGATTCTTCCCGTACACTGGACAAGGACTTGGGATGCAGAAGGCTGTCACACTGGCCCCTGCCTTTGCGATAAGGCAGAGGGTTCATTGAGCTGATTAACACATGAGCCGTTTGCAGATGGCAAATCTAAAAGAGCTTGATAACACACACCCACTTAGGCTTCAAGAGTCGCAGACAACCTCTCCTAGATGCTGTCCTGGGACCAGAGCCCAAAAGCGCTCTTGCCGGCCTCTGCACCTGCCTGTCTGCATGCTCCCCCTAGGAGTTTGAGCTGTTGGGCGACCAAGCTGGGGACACCCTTGTCGCATACTCTGCAAGGAGAATCAGGGAACTCTTCTGTTTCAACAGTTTGCTGTGAGGTATTTGATAAGTAGTTTCTCCACACATATTACAAAGGCAGGAGAATGTGGAAGGGGTAAAGATGATAGATGAGGAGCAGGGAGAGAAGGCTCTAAAGACAAACCTGATGGTGCTGCCAGGGACAGGCTGGAGGTGATGAGATGCCCTCCCTCACTGTCAGTGTGGCCAGTTATTCAACGTGTTCATCCTTCCTGCTGGCATAAGGTCCCACACTGGCCCTAGGAATCTTGTTGTCATTTGATGAGGGGTCTTCACAAAGCAAGGACATGCCATCACTTGTCTCATTCACCCTCTGGCTGTCCCTGGTGCCCATACAAGTTGTCTGACCTGATTTATTCATCTATCGAGGCAGAACAAAGACAAACAAGGGCGATGCTAACAGTGGTTCTTATTGCAGAATATTGGATGCTCTTAAGGAAGAGGAAAGACTATGATTTGGAGCTGGGTGAGATAACAGGTATTTGGAAAAAGGCTTCACTTATTTTCTTCCCCAAATGGTATTTTCAGATAAGGAAAGATTCAAACACTAGCTTTGGTAATTATATAGCAAATGATAAAATGAGGAAATAGCTTCAGAATAAATGTGGAATGTAGAAGCAAATCAATGTTAAAGAAGATTACTTATTTGGGTCTTCATGTGTTATTCAGTTATAGTCCTCTCTTTCCCCACTCAAACTATGGACTCAAGAATCACAATAACATTTTTTTTTCATAGCACAAACAGTTCAATTTTCCAATTATATTCAGATACAGCTAATAAAAATCACATACCTAGTGGATGAATTGGGTTATATTATTACACATAATGTTTGTTATGATTGAATATTAAAGTAGATGTCAAACATACGAATTAAATTATCTGTTAAAATTGTATTACACCCTCATTTACAACATTGTAATATATTTATTTGTTTGAAATTATATTTCTTACTTATGACTTGTATTACTCTGAGGAAAAATTTATTAAAGTAATTTTCCTAGAAATTATTAAAATTTAACAGAAAATTACCTACCTTGAGTTCCAAAAAATCACATTACTTCTAAACAAAATGTATTTACTATTCAAAATCAAAACAAATTAAAATTTGGCTTAAATATTTCAAAATCTTTTGAAAATTTTACATACACTTGTAATGATGGGAAAACCTTTTTTTCCCCATCATATAAGAAAGGAAGAGAGAGATCGGGAGCCAAGATGGCCAAATAGGAACAGCTCCGGTCTATAGCTCCCAGCGTGAGCGACACAGAAGACAGGTGATTTCTGCATTTCCATCTGAGGTACCGGGTTCATCTCACTAGGGAGTGCCAGACAGTGGGCACAGGACAGTGGGTGCAGCACACCATGTGCGAACCGAAGCAGGGAGAGGCATTGCCTCACTCGGGAAGTGCAAGGGGTCAGGGAGTTCCCTTTCCTAGTCAAAGAAAGGGGTGACAGAGGGCACCTGGAAAATCGAGTCACTCCCACCCCAATACTGTGCTGTTCCAACGGGCTTAAAAAACGGCGCACCAGGAGATTATATCCCACACATGGCTCCGAAGGTCCTATGCCCACGGAGTCTCGCTGATTGCTAGCACAGCAGTCTGAGATCAAACTGCAAGGCGGCAGCGAGGCTGGGGGAGGGGCGCCTGCCATTGCCCAGGCTTGCTTAGGTAAACAAAGCAGCTGTGAAGTTCAAACTGGGTGGAGCCCACCACAGCTCAAGGAGGCCTGCCTGCCTCTGTAGGCTCCACCTCTGGGGGCAGGGCACAGACAAACAAAAAGACAGCAGTAACTTCTGCAGACTTAAATGTCCCTGTCTGACAGCTTTGAAGAGAGCAGTGGTTCTCCCAGCACGCAGCTGGAGATCTGAGAGCTGGCAGACTGCCTCCTCAAGTGGGTCCCTGACCCCTGACCCCCGAGCAGCCTAACTAGGAGGCACCCCCCAGTAGGGGCAGACTAACACCTCACACGGCTGGGTACTCCTCTGAGACAAAACTTCCAGAGGAACGATCAGACAGCAGCATTCGCGGTTCACGAAAATCTGCTGTTCTGCAGCCATGGCTGCTGTTACCCAGGCAAACAGGGTCTGGAGTGGACCTCTAGCAAACCCCGACAGACCTGCAGCTCAGGGTCCTGTCAGAAGGAAAACTAACAAACAGAAAGGACATCCACACCAAAAACCCATCTGTACATCACCATCATCAAAGACCAAAAGTAGATAAAACCACAAAGATGGGGAAAAAACAGAGCAGAAAAACTGGAAACTCTAAAAAGCAGAGCACCTCTCCTCCTCCAAAGGAATGCAGCTCCTCACCAGCAACAGAACAAAGCTGGATGGAGAATGACTTTGAGGAGTTGAGAGAAGAAGGCTTCAGATGATCAAACTACTCCGAGCTACAGGAGGAAATTCAAACCAAAGGGAAAGAAGTTGAAAACTTTGAAAAAAATTTAGACGAATGTATAAGTAGAATAACCAATACAGAAAAGTGCTTAAAGGAGCTGATGGAGCTGAAAGCCAAGGTTCGAGAACTATGTGAAGAATGCAGAAGCCTCAGGAGCCGATGCGATCAACTGGAAGAAAGGGTATCAGTGATGGAAGATGAAGTGAATGAAATGAAGCGAGAAAGGAAGTTTAGAGAAAAAAGAATAAAAAGAAATGAACAAAGCCTCCAAGAAATATGGGACTGTGTGAAAAGACCAAATCTATGTCTGATTGGTGTACCTGACAGTGACAGGGAGAATGGAACCAAGTTGGAAAACACTCTGCAGGATATTATCCAGGAGAACTTCCCCAATCTAGCAAGGCAGGCCAACATTCAGATTCAGGAAATACAGAGAATGCCACAAAGATACTCCTTGAGAAGAGCAACTCCAAGACACATAATTGTCAGATTCACCAAAGTTGAAATGAAGGAAAAAATGTTAAGGGCAGCCAGAGAGAAAGGTCGGGTTACTCACAAAGGGAAGTCCATCAGACTAACAGCGGATCTCTTGGCAGAAACTCTACAAGCCAGAAGAGAGTGGGGGCCAATATTCAACATTCTTAAAGAAAAGAATTTTCAACCCAGAATTTCATATCCAGCCAAATTAAGCTTCACAAGTGAAGGAGAAATAAAATCCTTTACAGACAAGCAAATGCTGAGAGATTTTGTCACCACCAGGCCTGCCCTAAAAGAGCTCCTGAAGGAAGCACTAAACATGGAAAGGAACAACTGGTACCAGCCACTGCAAAATCATGCCAAATTGTAAAGACCATCAAGGCCAGGAAGAAACTGCATCAACTAACGAGCAAAATCACCAGCTAACATCATAATGACAGGATCAAATTCACACATAAAAATATTAACTTTAAATGTAAATGGACTAAATGCTACAATTAAAAGACACAGACTGGCAAATTGGATAAAGAGTCAAGACCCATCAGTATGCTGTATTCAGGAAACCCATCTCACATGCAGAGACACACATAGGCTCAAAATAAAAGGATGGAGGAAGATCTACCAAGCAAATGGAGAACAAAAAAAGGCAGGGGTTGCAATCCTAGTCTCTGATAAAACAGACTTTAAGCCAACAAAGATCAAAAGAGACAAAGAAGGCCATTACATAATGGTAAAGGGATCAATTCAACAAGAAGAGCTAACTATCCTAAATATATATGCACCCAATACAGGAGCACCCAGATTCATAAAGCAAGTCCTGAGTGACCTACAAAGAGACTTAGACTCCCACACAATAATAATGGAAGACTTTAACACCCCACTGTCAACATTAGACAGATCAATGAGACAGAAAGTTAACAAGGATACCCAGGAATTGAACTCAGCTCTGCACCAAGCAGACCTAACGGACATCTACAGAACTCTCCACCCCAAATCAACAGAATATACATTTTTTTCAGCACCACACCACACCTATTCCAAAATTGACCACATAGTTGGAAGTAAAGCTCTCCTCAGCAAATGTAAAAGATCAGAAATTATAACAAACTGTCTGTCAGACCACAGTGCAATCAAACTAGAACTCAGAATTAAGAAACTCACTCAAAACCGCTCAACTACATGGCAACTGAACAACCTGCTCCTGAATGACTACTGGGTACATAACGAAATGAAGGCAGAAATAAAGATGTTCTTTGAAACCAATGAGAACAAAGACACAACATACCAGAATCTCTGGGACACATTCAAAGCCGTGTGTAGAGGGAAATTTATAGCACTAAATGACCACGAGAGAAAGCAGGAAAGATCCAAAATTGACACCCTAACATCACAATTAAAAGAACTAGAAAAGCAAGAGCAAACACATTCAAAAGCTAGCAGAAGGCAAGAAATAACTAAAATCAGAGCAGAACGAAGGAAATAGAGACACAAAAAACCCTTCAAAAAATTAATGAATCCAGGAGCTGGTTTTTTGAAGGGATCAACAAAATTGATAGACTGCTAGCAAGATTAATAAAGAAGAAAAGAGAGAAGAATCAAATAGATGCAATAAAAAATGATAAAGGGGATATCACCACCGATCCCACAGAAATACAAAGTACCATCAGAGAATGCTACAAACACCTCTACACAAATAAACTAGAAAATCTAGAAGAAATGGATAAATTCCTTGACACATACACCCTCCGAAGACTAAACCAGGAAGAAGTTGAATCTCTGAATAGACCAATAACGGGCTCTGAAATTGTGGCAACAATCAATAGCTTACCAACCAAAAAGAGTCCAGGACCAGATGGATTCTCAGCCGAATTCTACCAGAGGTAGAAGGAGAAATTGGTACCATTCCTTCTGAAGCTATTCCAATCAATAGAAAAAGAGGGAATCCTCCCTAACTCATTTTATGAGACCAGCATCATCCTGATACCAAAGCCAGGCAGAGACACAACCAAAAAAGAGAATTTTAGACCAATATACTTGATGAACATTGATGCAAAAATCCTCAATAAAATACTGGCAAATCAAATCCAGCAGCACAACAAAAAGCTTATCCACCATGATCAAGTGGGCTTCATCCCTGGGGTGCAAGGCTGTTTCAATATACACAATTCCATAAATGTAATCCAGCATATAAACAGAATCAAAGACAAAAACCACATGATTATCTCAATAGATGCAGAAAAGGCCTTTGACAAAATTCAACAACCCTTCATGCTAAAAACTCTCAATAAATTAGGTATTGATGGGACATATCTCAAAATAATAAGGGCTATCTATGACAAACCCACAGCCAATATCATACTGAATGGGCAAAAACTGGAAGCATTCCCTTTGAAAACTGGCACAAGACAGGGATGCCCTCTCTCACCACTCCTATTCAACATAGTGTTGGAAGTTCTGGCCAGGGCAATTAGGCAGGAGAAAGAAATAAAGGGTATTCAATTAGGAAAAGAGGAAGTCAAATTGTCCCTGTTTGCAGATGACATGATTGTATATCTAGAAAACCCCATTGTCTTAGCCCAAAATCTCCTTAAGCTGATAAGCAGCTTCAGCAAAGTCTCAGGATACAAAATCAATGTACAAAAATCACAAGCATTCTTATATGCCAATAGCAGACAAACAGAGAGCCAAATCATGAGTGAACTCCCATTCACAATTGCTTCAAAGAGAATAAAATACCTAGGAATCCAACTTACAAGGGATGTGAAGGACCTCTTCAAGGAGAACTACAAACCACTGCTCAATGAAATAAAAGAGGATACAAACAAATGGAAGAACATTCCATGCTCATGGGTAGGAAGAATCAATATCGTGAAAATGGCCATACTGCCCAAGGTAACTTATAGATTCAATGCCATCCCCATCAAGCTACCAATGACTTTCTTCACAGAATTGGAAAACACTACTTTAAAGTTCATATGGAACAAAAAAAGAGCCCGCATTGCCAAGTCAATCCTAAGCCAAAAGAACAAAGCTGGAGGCATCATGCTACCTGACTTCAAACTATACTACAAGGCTACAGTAACCAAAACAGCATGGTACTGGTACCAAAACAGAGTTATAGATCAATGGAACAGAACAGAGCCCTCAGAAATAACGCCGCATATCTACAACTATCTGATCTTTGACAAACCTGAGAAAAACAAGCAATGGGGAAAGGATTCCCTATTTAATAAATGGTGCTTGGAAAACTGGCTAGCCTTATGGAGAAAGCTGAAACTGGATCCCTTCCTTACACCTTATACAAAAATTAATCCAAGATGGATTAAAGACTTAAACGTTAGACCTAAAACCATAAAAACCCTAGAAGAAAACCTAGGCATTACCATTCAGGACATAGGCATGGGCAAGGACTTCAAGTCTAAAACACCAAAAGCAATGACAACAAAAACCAAAATTGACAAATGGGATGTAGTTAAACTAAAGAGCTTCTGCACAGCAAAAGAAACTACCATCAGAGTGAACAGGCAACCTACAAAATGGGAGAAAATTTTTGCAACCTACTCATCTGACAACGGGCTAATATCCAGAATCTACAATGAACTCAAACAAATTTACAAGAAAAAAACAAACAACCCCATCAAAAAGTGGGTGAAGGACACGAACAGACACTTCTCAAAAGAAGACATCTATGCAGCCAAAAAACACATGAAAAAATGCTCACCATCACTGGCTATCAGAGAAATGGAAATCAAAACCACAATGAGATACCATCTCACACCAGTTAGAATGGCAATCATTAAAAAGTCAGGAAACAACAGGTGCTGGAGAGGATGTGGAGAAATAGGAACACTTTTACACTGTTGGTGGGACTATAAACTAGTTCAACCCTTGTGGAAGTCAGTGTGGCAATTCCTCAGGGATGTAGGACTAGAAATACCATTTGACCCAGCCATCCCATTACTGGGTATATACCCAAAGGACTATAAATCATGCTGCTATAAAGACACATGCACACATATGTTTATTGCGGCACTATTCGCAATAGCAAAGACTTGGAACCAACCCAAATGTCCAACAATGATAGACTGGATTAAGAAAATGTGGCACATATACACCATGGAATACTATGCAGCCATAAAAAATGATGAGTTCATGTCCTTTGTAGGGACATGGATGAAATTAGAAATCATCATTCTCAGTAAACTATCGCAAGAACAAAAAACCAAACACCGCATATTCTCACTCATAGGTGGGAATTGAACAATGAGATCACATGGACACAGGAAGGGGAATATCACACTCTGGGGACTGTGGTGGGGTGGGGGGAGGGGGGAGGGATAGCATTGGGAGATATACCTAATGCTAAATGACGAGTTAATGGGTGCAGCACACCAGCATGTCACATGTATACATATGTAACTAACCTGCACATTGTGCACATGTACCCTAAAACTTAAAGTATAATAATAATAAAATAAAATAAATAAAATAAAATAAAAGGAAGAGGGAGAGATAAAGAGACAAACAACATTTTAAGGAATATTTTAGCATAAAATTAAATAAATGGCAATAGAGCTTTCTTGGTTATAGGATATTGTAGGTAGAGGCAAGTGATCACTCTTGCTACAGTAACTGGAACAACTAACACAGTTTAAAATTTATTTTAAAATGTATGTGGAATCTAAAGAAGCCAAAAGGACTAGAAGAACTATAATTCTAGGTAGAAAAGTGTTCTTTTAAGTAGAATGAAATCATTGGAAACCAATTGTCTTTCAGAGAATTTGTTGAATTAGGCTTGCCATGCACAGAAGACCACTTAAAAGAGCAACCAAGTCTTAAAAGCTACCTGGACTAACCTAATAGTTTGAGATTGGAGGAACTTCAAATGTGTGTCCTTTTTTAAAAAAACATGTAATATCTTATGGGTGCTGAGGCATAGGAACCTGGAGGAATGGACTGGAAAGACAGACTGAATCACCTGTAGGTTCACAGTGTGTAGGAAACAAAGTCTCGAGAGAGAAACTCAACCTCAAAACATTCGAAACAAAAAGTGGCTGAAACTAACTAAAGCTAAAATCCAAACTGGACATGCCGAAATTCATGATGGTATTGAGTTAATCACCCTCTTATCCTATTTGCCTAATAAATGAATTGGAAAACCACATCTGCAGAGAAATAACATTGACTTCCTTCTCCACAGGTTTTAAAAACACGGTTGTCCCACCACAATAAATGATAAGCATATGAGGGGATTCATAGGCTAATTTGCTCAACCAAGCCATTTTACAGTGTATGCATATTTTAAAACATCATGCTGTACTTGATAAATATATACAACTTGTGTCGATTCAAAACGTCTAAGAAATGCCAGATACTGAAGTCTTCCTGTTCTATTCTCTGCCTTTTGGGAGAAGCTGCAGAATATTGAGTCCAACTCATCATTTTGTTTACAGCGAGGAAAACAGGGACCCCCAGATCGGCTGATTCCAGAATGGCCTCAGTCCACCAGTGGCACAGATGGAGAGCCCGACATTGGAACTGTGGCAGACTCTTCTGAGAAAAGAGGGGTCGTTCAAATGTTGACTTGAAAGTCCAGTCTGCAGTTGGTGGAACTGAGGCAAGCTTGCCTCCGGGCAGGCTTATGGCACACCCAGCTAGTTTATTCTTCTGACCTACCTGGCCTTCAGTCTGCCCATAAAAACTGACCATTTGTGCTTCATGTATTATCCCTCCCATTGTTTGTCTTTTGTTTTCATGGGTCTTCTGTGACTGTTAGTTGTTTTTTTAAATTAAAGTCCTGAAGGTCACTGACTCTGACAAAATAAGTGCTCCATATATGTTTGTGGAATAATATTCTTGTTGTTTTGAAAAGACTGATTCAAATGCAACACATTTTTTTATTTAGTACTTTGAAAAAGAGCTAATTTTTAAAAACTTCCTCTGAATGGTATAACAAATGTATTAGGACCTGATTATTTGTTGTAAGTCCAGCTTGGAAGAACTTAATATCTATTTCTTACTTATAATTTTACATTGGTCCTCAAGTCCAGTGCATTACCCAAAGGATCTTTGCCAACTTAATATGGTATTCTTCCCATAAGGACAGAAAACATAAACGCTCAAAGTCAAAGATTGCAAAATTATCATATTGCTCTATCAACTGATGAGTGGTTAAACAAAATGGAGTATATCTAGACAATGTGAAATATTATTTGACTGTAAAAAAGAATTAAGTACTAATTCATGCTATAATGTGGAAGAACATTGAAAATTTATGCTAAGTAAAAAGCCAGACACAAAGGCCACATGGTCTATTTTTCCATTTGAATTAAAGGTCCAGAATTGGCAAATGTATAGAGACAAGAAGCAGACAGATTAGTTGTTGCTTTGGATTGGGGATTGGGGGAATGAGGGGACTGAGCTGGTCACAGCTAAAGAGTACAGGATTTCTTTCTGGAGTGCTAAAATTGTTCTAAAATTTGTTGTTTTGATGGTTGCACAATTTTATGAATGTACTAAAAAATGCTGAATTGTATAATTTGTGGTTGAATCGTATTGTAAGCAAATTGCACCTCAAGAAAACTGTAAAAATATATAAAAGAAAAAAGCAAGGTCCAACAAAATAATGACAGGAAATTAAAAGAGGAAGGAAAACATAACATGTAATCAAGCAAAAAATCAATAATGAAAGCCACCCCACAGCTGACTTAGGCAATGACTTTTTAGATAATAAATATAAATTTGTTAAAATATATAGAAAAAATTTAAAATAGGGTAAAAATGGAAAATTTAATGGAAAATTGGAATCTATAAAAAAGAATAAAAAATGCTCTATAACAAAATAATGAAATAGACAGAATTAGGAGCTCATTGAATGATTTTAACAGCAGCCTAGACACAATATTGAATAAAATTAGTAAGCCAAAAGACATATCAATGGAAAATATACTTATTATAGTATCAATAAAACAAATGAGTTAAGAAAACTGTAATAAATGAGTAGACTATGGTCAGATGGTCATATATATATAATTGGAGGCTTTGAACTTCCTGTTGGAGAGTGAAACAAAAGTAAATAACTGAATATGTAATAATTGAGAATTTTCAAATATTGATGAAATATATCAATGCAGATACTCAATATTTTTAGCTAAACCCAAGCAGAGTAAATATGAACAAAACTACACTTAGGTACACCACGGTCAAATTGCTGAACAACAAAGATAGAATTCAGGAAGAAATAAACATGGGAAAAGATACATTAGTGAATAAATATTAAAATATAATTACTGTTTAAACCAAAAATAATAACTATATCTATTGAAATTTACAACAGGTGTGGAAGAAATAAAACACATGGCAACGTTAACATGAAGATGCATAGGAGGTAAAAGATCTAAACTCCTGTAAGATTCTTGCATGATTCTGGACATAGAAAAAGCATTATTTTATTAAGTAATCTAATAAAGGGTAGATTTTAATATGTAGACTTACAATTAAAATAATAAAGCGAAAAAATTATGAAACATCACTAATAGAAAAGATTATGATTAAAAATACTTGATTATCCCAAGAGAAGATTAGGAAGGAGGAATACAGAAAAACAGAACAGATAAGACAAATATAAAGCAGATAGTGAGTTGAAAAAGGAAACAACAATAATATTAAATGAAAATGCACGAGCTGGGCCCGGTGGCTCACGCCTGCAATCCCAGCACTTTGGGAGGCTGAGGTGGGTGGATCACCTGAGGTTGGGAGTTTGAAACCAGCCTGGCCAACATGGTGGAACCCTGTCTCTACTAAAAATACAAAAAAATTAGCCAGGCATGGTGGCATGTGCCTGTAATCCCAGCTACTGTGGAGGCTGAGGCAGAAGCATCGCTTTAACCTGGGAGGGAGAGGTGGCCGTGAGCTGAGATTGCATCATTGCACTCCAGCCTGGGTAACAAGAGCGAACTCCGTCAAAAAAAAAAAAAAAAAAAAAAAGAGAAAGAAAGAAAAGGACAGAAAAGAAAATGCACTTCACATTGGAAAACAAAACATTGTTCTCATAATTGGTAAACCCACTTAGAAATCTATGAAGTTGCTGGTTGAAATTGGAGGGGTGATAAACTTTGAAAAACAGGTTTGATGAACTCCAACATTTAAAAATTATCCAAAGAAGAAGCCAATAAAGAAGGATGTGAATCAGGAATCTGAAAGCTTGAGAAGAAAACTAGGATAAAGCTCTCACCCATGTCAAAGAAGGAAGGTTTTGAGAAAGCAGGAGAGTTATGAAGTTCTGAATGCTGCTGAGACATGGCGAAGATGAGAACAGAACAGTGTCTATTTGAACTGGAATCATGGCCTGTTCATTTGTGTCCTTATAAAGAACATTTTGTGGAATCTGGGAGAATAAATATATAAATTGAAGAGCAAAGTAGAGTTGGGAAAGTGAGAGGCAAGTGCATTTGTACCCTTTCCAGAAGTCTGGCTGTACAGAAAAATGGATAAGCGATGCAGTGTCAAGAGGGCTTGAGAAATGATGGGTGATTTTGTTTTTTCAGTGAGAGATAATGGACCATGTGCCTTTAAGTGATTTTTTTATGGAAGCATAATATACATACAGAAAAAATGCACAAATAATGTGTACAGGTAGATATTGCCTAACTCTTGTGAAACCTCCCTTCCTTTTCAAGACATGCACCAGTACAAGAAACTTAGAAACACATCCCCAGTTTCCTCCTAGTCTTTATCCCTTTCAAAAGAAAGAAACTTGCAGATTTCTATCACCGTTACTTTGCTTTGCATATTATTGAACTTGATATAAGTGAAATCATACAGCACGTGCTCATATATGCAAGACTTCCTTTACTCAGTTTTCTATTTATAACTATTTCTTGTCATCCAGTACAACCGTCTACTCACTTTTATTGCTATGTAGTGTTCAATTTTTTTCCATAAAACACATTTTCTTTGTGTATTCTAATTTGATAGTCATTAGGTTATTTCTGGTTTTATTTTAGTATCAATACAAATGCTTAAATATTCTGTAACATCTTTTTTGTAGAAAATGTCCTCATTTTTCTTGAGTAAATATCCAGGTGTGAAATTGGTGGTAAAAAATTTGCATATGTTCTTCTTTAATAGATACTGCCAAACTTTATTTTCTAAGTGGTTGTACCATTTTATATTCCAACCAAATATATGATGATTCCAACTAATTCATATCTTTGCTAAATTTGGTAGTATCTGTCTTTTCCCATTTTAGCTACTCTATTGGTTATATAGGGATATCCTATGAGAGTTTTAAATTGCATCCCCTTGTTTATAATAAAGTTGAGTATATTTTTATATGTTGACTGTTCATTTGCATATCGTCTCTCTCTCTCTCTCTCTCTCTCTCTCTGTGTGTGTGTGAAGGATCTTCTCGAAACTTTACTGAAAAGGCTGGTTTTTCTACCTACTTCTAGTTTGCACCTTTGGTATAAATCAGCTGACCACATAAATGCGTGACTGTTTCAGACCTTCTGTTCCCCTGTTCTAATTGTCTATCCATATGACAATATGTTACTCTGTTAATGACTGTAGCTGTGTAAGTCAGTCTTGATCTCTCCCAGTATAAGACTCTCACTTTACTCTTCTTATCTTGGACTTTTGTATTGCCATAAAAATGTTTAAAACAACTTGTACATTTCCATACTTTTCCAAAACAAAAATCTGCCAGAATTTTGTTTAGGATTTCCTTGAAACAACAGATTAAGTTCAATTACATTTTTACAACATTAAACCTTTCAATCCATTGAAACCATATATCATTTCATTTATTTGTCTTCCTCAACTATTCTGATAACATTTTGTAAATTTTAGAGCAAAATGCATGCTCAACATCTGTAGATTCACTGTGATATGGTAAATTTTTGTGATGCAGCTGATAATGTTTAATAATTTTCAAAACTTTATATTTATTTATTTTAATTGATATATTTTATTACATAAAAATATATTTATTTATTTCTACTATAAAAGCTGTCACTGATTATTATATTGAACTTGAATCCGGTAACATTGTTCAATTCACACATGAATTATTGTGAATTTATCTGCATTTAAAAAAATTCTATGCACACAATTATTTCACATGCAAATAATAGTTTCCTTTTTTCTTCCTTTCCTATATCTTATAATACTGTTATTTTCTTTGGTATTAGATTCAATTTTCTTTCTGCTGGCAGGAACTGAGACTGAGTCTCAGTTTGGAGTCTGAATCTCATGCTGTGTTATGCTGGTGTATTTTTACTCGGCTTTTACTAAGAGGAAAATGCCATTCAGAGGTCTCAACAGAAAGTTGAAGGTGTTTACAGGGCCCTTCCTCTTCCAATGATTCCAAACTCCAATATTTGTTTCTTTATTTCTGTGAGGATGTCAAAAGCTCCGCTTAAGATTTTAACCTCTTAGGGATGGCTTCCTCCTCGGTTTCTCAATATTTAACTCCTGAGCATCTAAGGATGTGGCCATGGCTTCAAGGGCAAAAGCCTTGGAGAACACAAGTTATGGGGATGAAGTTGGGGGGTTCCTCCTTCAATAAAAAGGTGAGTGTCCCAACAGGAAGAACTAAGGAAAAGATGCACATGCAGGCAACTGTTTTTGTAGTTGTGTTGGTTAAAAAGTAGGTGGCTGTTATACGAGTACTTATTCTCCATAAAGGAAAGAAAGTCATCAGCTGACATCAGGCTAGAGAAGTTGATAGCAAGATGAAGTGAGGATGCGAGAGAATTTGAACAGAAAGAATAATACTGAGAACCAGCAATCTTAAAAATGAGAAAACGTGTATCGTAGAAGAAGCCTGGTGAATTGCCAGGCAAGTTACATAATTGTTCTGTAAGGGAATTTTCTCACCTGTTTTATTTATCCAGCCCATTTTGCAGGGTTGATGCAAGCTCTTAAGAAATAATGACTGCAAAATGCCTGTGAAAGCTACAAAGTGTTATAAAATGAATAAAGTGCAAATAAAAAGCAATGATCAGTAAAAGAGGAACAAGGGGTTGGGAGGCGTCATGAAAAGTAGAGTCATGAGTGACATCCGAGTTCTTACAGTTGACCCTCAGGAGAAAGAGGGAGACCTGAGTCAAAACATCCGGTTTTAGAAAGGCATTTCCGTCCTTAGCAAAGAGGAAGTGGGAGGTAGGGAAGCTTAGAGGCATCAAGCCCAAGAACCTTGCTAGTGTACCAGGGAAAGGATTTGAGCCTAAAACTCTTGTGTGCAATTTTAGAAGACTGTCCATTTTCTGTTTTTATTTTTCAATAATTAGAACATGTGAGCAATTCTGCATTTCTGAAGCAAAGACAAGATGGAAAAACAAGAGTTAAGATTCATTACTGTTATTATTGTTATTGTATTTTTTAATAAATGCAGACTCTTAACCTGCTATCCTCAAAGACGTTCTGCAATCACTAGGCATTCAGCCAAACAGTCATGTATTATTCGTAAGCATGGTTTGTTTACTTTAAAAGATTTTCAAGGGCTGCTACAATTGCATATTGCCTTCAACTCTCAGATAGCATCTGTGAGCCGCCAGTGTTTCTTGGATAATTCTTTCTGTCTTGAAGGCTTAAGACACTTGGTCTTTACTCTTACTAGGCTTCTGGGATTCCCGTGTCTCGGCCATGTGTGTTCACACTGCAATGTGTCATAGTCAACATTTTTAACAACCAGTACAATCACATTGATTGCTGAATACCAATCTTGCAAGGAGGTCTCTGTATATAACTCTACTATTGTATGAATCACTTTTGTATGCTTGTCTCTCTAAGTAGTTTTTGTGTTTATTGAGGACAGGGTTTGTAGCTAAGAGCCTTGGAAGGATTCAAGATTTGCTGAAAGTTGCCAGTTATATCCCAGGCATTCAGGCAATAGGATTGGTTAGTGTTTTCCACAGTGAATGAGGTTGAGAACTATTTGGTTAACTGGATGACTTATTCCTTGGTCTGATAATAAATGATGAAGCCTTAGTTTGGGCAACATATATTGAGTGCCTACAATCTGCAGTGCTTTGTGTTTCTATTAAACTTCTATTAATTCAATGGAGTAGAAAGCACGGTTCATCCCCATCAGTGAGGTTTAATTCATTGAAGAGACAATAAATGCATTTTAATGATAATAACCCCCCTTGTAGAGAATTTAATACTTTACAAAGAACTTTAACAACAAAGGAGCCACATATACCTCTTATAGAGTAAGTAAAGCAAGTCCTATAATCTCATTTCAAGAACATCGAGAAACTGAGTTTTGGAGTTACATATACTAGTGAATAGGAGAGCAGAGGCTTCAATTCCATTTGAATGATGCCCCTGGATTTGTGCAGCCAGGGGCACCCGTTGGTGAATGTGGGAAGCAGCACATGCTAAGACCCAGTGGTGGGATCAAACCCGGAGTGGCTGAGGAACTGCAGTCCCCGTGTGTCTGAAAGCGATGGAACCTTGTAAAAAAAGTTTGGCCCTCGACTCAGAAGATGGTGCAGTCTCATGGGAAACAAAAGTTGGAGAAGATATGCTAATCACACAGAAAAATGTGAGACCAAGCTTTCAGTCAATACTGAAATAGGCTTGACATATCTGATGGACCACCCGGGGCACTACCTAACTGAAGCCTAGGTCTGGGTTTCATGTAGATACAAAATTGGCTAAGAAAACAGTGGGTAAATGGAATTGAGCAGACAATGGGCAGTCATTGCTAGACTTAATCAAGGAATCCACACAGTCAAAAAGGTTTTAGTCTATTCATTGAAAGACTTATTTCATTGGAACTTTGGGCAAAAAAGTGGTTGTGTTTATTGTGTGTTACATAGATCATGATACATTATTTTATACAATTGTAAAAGAATCTTTTAAATCACCACCTTAATAGAGTTGTAATTTTACTCAAAACTAGAATTAAAAAATGAAACCCATATATATATTTAACTTAGAAAGATGCAGCTGGGCTTCAAAATTGGCCTCATGCATTTTCCTTCCACAATTTGGCAAAACTACAGCAACCTCCTCTCAAACATTGGCCTCCTTCCTTGTTTCAGCACAATGGGAGCTTTCACATTTCTTCCAAAAGGCTTATTCACAATTATGCAACCCTTTATGGGAGCTTCCTACAGAAAACCACACAGAGTGATGCAGGCACCCTGGTTGTCTGGGTTCCTGCCGAGAGGTAGCAATTTGATGAAAGCAAGGAAGCCAGACCCCATCGTGAGTAAGATTTTAATGCGTGAGCCTAGCATCCGAAAAGGATAACAGCCCTGCTCATAGCATTCACCTTAATGAAAACGCAGTCAGTCTAACATTCAAAATGCACTTAATTTTAAAAGTACTCCTCATTCACACACAGCAACCAGATCATGCACTACATCTTATCTTTTTGTGTGTGTGAACCTAAGATCATGGGTCAAAGAGAAATATGCTTTCTGTGTTTAAACTGAAAAAAAAAATTCCCCGCAAATTGCAATGAAATATCATATTTCCACTCTAAGAGACTGAAAATTATTCAAAAATATATATTTAAATAAGACTAGCAATGAAGCAAGAAATATTTAGTTTCGTGAGACAGCAGTGCTAACTCTCTTTTATTGTTTTGGTAACATCCTATGAGAAGTTGCATTCAGATAAACAGTTCAACCCCTTCAGATTTGCTGACTGTTTACTGTAATATTTTTCAATAATTATGTAATTAGCTCATCAACTCTTTCACACTCAGTATTTCCCTCCTAGCTACTTGGTTTGTTTACTTTAGGGGCTGTCTGAAGTTCTGTGTACAGAATTAATAAGTGGAATAATTTATCTCTTTGCCTTTTGCAAAGAGTCATTCTAATTCAGAACACCTTTACCCGCATGAAGTTCGTGACTCTTTGAGGCTGCCATGGTTCTTAGCTGTTACTGATCCAGGAATCAATTTAAAATACAGTTCACTCTTTATTCTGTTACATTGTTATTTCTTAACCAATAGGTTTTGTGTTTGAAGTGATTTCTAAAGAAACTTCCAGTTGAGGACATTCAATACTAATCAAAGGGTCATAATATGTAAAATATGGAACTGGTGCAGATTTGGGACTGAAAAAAAATGAGAAGGACATAGTGACATGCTTCGTGAGGAGATGAAAGCAGAAGTAAATAAGCTCTAAAGTTTTGAATGAGAACTGCTGGCATTTTTTTTCTTGTGTTTTTAGGTGTGCTAAGTGCAGCAAGCCCATTCAGAGAGCTGGCCTGAGCCATGCAAGCAGTGAGAGGGGCAGCTGAACGGAATGAAGACAGGGCTCTGTCCCCTGTGAATGGAATGGGGGTCTCAACAGAGAGAAGCAATTGCCAAGGGATAGGAAAGCAGGAGGCTCTTAATAGATGTGCCCAGGACTGAGGTCATAGGCAACAGGACAATAGTCAGATCCAGTGATAAAATCTACAAAAGAAATCAGTGGAAAAAATGCACATAGATTTACTAAGATTTACCCAAAATCTGGGAAGTCATACTAAGGAAGTACAAAATGGTATAATAGAAATTCAATTAAAATAGATTACTTAAAGGAAGAACCCTGAAACAATTCAAACTCTTCTAAAAATATACTGCCCTAGCAAGGAGTAAGCTTTCTATGACTTAAGGTGTTCAAACACAATTTACCATAATATCTTGGGTTCATTTCAGGACACACTCAGATGTTAGCTATATGATACACAAAATTACCTAAAAGTTCTATTTTAACACTTAATCCATGTTCTAAACTTTTTTCTTTCACTAATTTATTTTGTAGCTATTAAAAAAATAAACATATCTTTGCTAGTGTTATAAGTAAGGCCTAAGAGTGGTCTCTTATTTTGCTACAGTACCATACTTCCTGGCTTGCGGTGTAACATTTTTTTGTGATGTTATTCTGATTCAACAAAAAAAGTAAAGAGACCACTTCTTAAAAGTGCGTTTAGACTAATAATTGCTAAAAATGCAGGTATGACAACCTTTTCACATTTAACTTCTGAACTCAAGCAGATAATATGAACACATTTTTTTAGTAGCTATAGTGCGTATATCCTAGTATGCAGATAAAAGTAGAGAGAAGTGGGTCTAAAATCAACATGAGAGCTAAATTATAAATAATACATAAATATTATAATATTCCTAATATAATAATTTATATTTATAATATAATCATTATAGTAATGTATTATACTTATAATAATTATAATAATAAATACATTAAGCAATTAAACAGTAAAGATACATAAAAATTCTAGTACAAAGGCACATAGCATGTGTTCGCCATGTATATCATTATTATTTTTACAACCGTTTAATTATGACTTCCCAGTCATAATTATAAAATCATAAACTTTTTAAAGTAAATAAAAGAGAAAAATATATTCACAGATTGTTATATTTTCATTCATTTGTATACATTGCTTTATTTTCTTTGAGACACTCCCTGTGACCTATGATGTACTCAGAAGTATGCATTTAATTTCCAAGTGTTTGGAGATTTTTCATGTTGTCTATCTATTATTGATTTCTAGTTTGATTCCATTACAGTTAGAAAACATACTCTGTGAGACTTATTTTAAATGTGTTGAGATTTGCTTTATAAACCAGAATATGATCTATCTTTTGACCGTTCCATGGATAATAAAAAAAATGTGTTTCTCACTGTTGTTGGTAGAGTGGTCTGTAGAGGGCAATTGGACCCTGTTGACTGATGTTCATTCACAGACTACTGAAAAGCTCCTCTTTTATTATGTTTCACGGCTTTATAGCTTAGATGATATCCCTTGTTTAGCTTTTATTTTTTAAAAAGTGCAAGATATGTTGCATTCTCTTTATAATGCTGATAGTCTTAATTACAGTGTAGTTTCCCACACAGCCTTCTCTCAGAACACTGTTTCAAAGGATTTTAATAGTTGCTTAAAGGATTTCATTGTTATGAACAAAGGACCCCATTATAAAATGTAGAATTAGGCAATGATAACAGCTTTACTTACTCCAGTAACTTCTTAGAAATATCCATGTACTAATCTAACACTAATATGAAGAGGCCCCACCAGTGACTGCATGTCTTCTTTTGTGGTGGTCAGTGTAAGGGTAGCAACTTACCTCCCACTTTAGCAGACATATTCTCATATGTCCAGCCTAATGGACACCTAGAATCGGCTCTTCAACACTTTCAGATGGGAAAAGATGGGAGAGGATGTGGAAGGGCAAACAGACAATGCTGATGTCTAAGCTAGATGAAGCATGCCATGAACTTCTGTCTTCCATCGTTTCTCAACAACAGAAGCTGAAGGCATTAAATGTGCATGGATGCTGCCTCATGCTGGATCTCCGCCAGGAGCAGCAGTGCCATCCCAGTTCTGTGATGAGTGTCTTGCTCTTATCGCCTGTGACTTCAGATGGTTTTCTCCTGCCTTGTGATCTGGGGTCTTTTCCTTCCTTTGTCAATGCTCAGTAGGACAAGAGCAAGTTACGTGTGCCTGCCCCTTCCTTTTCTCTTTTTGCTTCAGGTCTGAGAAGTGGGAAATGAAGAAAAGAATAAGAACATCTCTGAGGTCTCTCAACTCAGGCCATTATTTGTGACTCTTCTGCTCCACAGACTTGTACTTGCTTAAGGTGTCTACATGTTGAATGTACCTGATGCACTTCACAAGGTATGAATCATCAACTTGCCACAAAATAACGTATAACAAATCATTTCCAAAGCTTAATGACAGAAATAGAAGCACATCTCATATTCATGAATATGTAAGAGGAGTGAGTGCCATTTGGCTGATGTGGGAAGTGCCTGGCTGGTTGCCCTACTCCAGGTTGTGGGTTCCCACATGTGGCTTCAGCTGCGGTTCAGGAATTGCATCCTTGTGTTTGCTCTTGGTCCCAGGCTGAAGATGCATACACCCGATGGGGTATGTATTCCCGTAGGAGATCTTTATAGCATCAGAGCAAAACCTTACAGCACAGTCTACTTAAAGCCTTTGCTCACCTCGCACCCACTAATATCCCATTGGCCTAACCAAGAGGCAATGCCAAGCTCCACATCACACGGCTAGAAAGCCTCCTCTGCTCTCAGTCACAGGTTGGGGGAGAAGGTACTGAGTAGCTGCTGAATAATAATCCAAACTATCACATAAGCCCAGAGCTGCCCCCTTATTCGTAGTAATGAGTTATAAGAATACTGACTTCTTAAGTATATAAGATATATACTTACAATCTTTTTTTCCTCCAATACAAATACTTTATTTAAGGGGGCTAGAGAAACAAAGATATTCCAATTAAATAGAGGGAGAAAGGGAATCACATAAAGTCTTCTTACAATGAATTTTGATTTATTTAAAACAGAGACAACAAATTGAAGATAAATGATAGTCAAAATAAGAATAATAGTTGTGGCTCACGCCTGTAATCCCAGCATTTTGGGAGGCCGAGGCGGGTGGATCATGAGGTCAGGAGATCAAGACCATTCTGGCTAACACGGTGAAACCCCGTCTCTACTAAAAATACAAAAAATTAGCTGGGCGTGGTGGTGGGCGCCTGTAGTCCCAGCTACTTGGGAGGCTGAGGCAGGAGAATGGTGTGAAACCCGGGAGGCGGAGCTTGCAGTGAGCCCAGATTGCACCACTGCACTCCAGTCTGGGCCACAGAGCGAGACTCCTTCTCAAAAAAAAAAAAAAAAAGAATAATACTTAGTAGAGAATTAAGGCACAGATAATGCTCTTCCAAGAGAAGTAAACAGGAGAGAGTGGCTAATCTGCTTTTCTTTTGTCTTGTGTTAAGTTGACTAGATTAGTTGAATAAGAGTAAAGCCCAGTGCTAAAGCAAAAAAAAAAAAAAAAAAAAAAAAGCCTCTGATGGCAAAATCATGTGTGCCTGTCTTGTTCTTCTCCTCTGGAATGTAATTTGAATTATTGAATTCTTTTTTTAATTGCCTTTAGTTAATTTCTTAAGCTGACATTTGTTCATGTGTGTTCATTATTTGATTGAATTTACTGCCTGAGGAAAAATAGATTATAAAAATAACACCTAGGTAGTAACGTTTTTAAATTATGGAAAGCAGCTCATTTTTTCCACAGAAAGTAATAAATGGATTGATCAGGGTGGATGAC
Source organism: Homo sapiens (assembly GCF_000001405.40). Taxonomy (NCBI): domain Eukaryota; kingdom Metazoa; phylum Chordata; class Mammalia; order Primates; family Hominidae; genus Homo; species Homo sapiens. The sequence goes on along the minus strand of NC_000006.12, from coordinate 164,689,130 downwards.
TAAGCTCATGAATCCATAAGTCACTCCCATGCATAATTTCTGGATATAAGGGGAAGGGCATTTTTAGAAGAATAAATATGAACAAGGGAATACAAAGTACCACTAGCAGACCCCAAATTATAAGCCATTTCTGAAAGGTAAAAGGCAGCCTAAACATGCATCAAAAGAGACCTGCAGCAGAGTAGGGACTGCTCAAATCAAAGCTAATAAATGTATATGGCAATGTGTATTATTTTAGTTTCTTCATAATGTACACATAAAAACTTTTTTTTTTTGAGATAGGGTCTCATTCCTATCATCCAAGCTGCGGTGCAGTGGTGCAATCCTGACTCACTGTAGCCTCGACCTCCCAGGCTCAAGCAATCCTTTCATCTCAGCCTCCTAAGTAGCTGGGACTACAGGTGCACACCACCACACCAACTAATTTTTTGTATTTTTAGTAGAGACGGGGTTTCACCATGGTGCCCAGGCTGGTCTCAAACTCCTGAGCTAAAGCAAGGGCCTCTCAAAGTGCTGGGATTACAGGAATGAGTCATCACGCCTGACCTATAAAAACATTTCTAAGAGATTATGTTAAAAAACACAACTGATATTTTAGAATAATAAGTATAGAAGGAACTCAGTTACTTTTGATCACACAAAATTATGTATTTATCTGAATATAAAATTGAAGTTAGATACATGGAAAAGATCTGAAAGGAAAATACCCTGAGTGAACTCAGACATGAGAAGTCAAAATTCAAGTAACAATTTTACACTATCTATATTATATTAATTCTTAAAAGTGAGATTGGCTTCATAAATATCTTATGTTATTAAGAAAACATGTGAATGAAAAATGAAATTAATTCAGATCATTAGAACAATACTTAGAAATATAGAAAAAGAAGAAGAAAACCATCCTCTATTCCACTGCTGTAGAAGAATACTATAAATATTTTGGGAAAGGTTCTTCATTATGTGCGGATTTTATATCATTTAATTTCTTTTAAAGCAGAGACTGTTTTTCACTTTTGTTTTTGTTTTTGCCATTTCCTCAGCCTGTCATGCATATGATTATATCTGTACCTCTTATTTATTCAGCAGTTTTTGTTTTTCATGCCCTTTTCTGTAATCTCTGTTTAACGTCAATTTTGCCAATTAAAAATATGTTTAAGACCTAACTATGATCACACTTAATCCAGTCTTTCTTACAAACCATCCAATAATACATGGAGTTTTCAGCAATTAATTTGTGTGCCAATAGTCTTGTCATCCAATTATATTCTCTTGTGATGCTTTAGATCTATGGAGAGAGTGTGTGTGTGTGTTGTGTGTGTGTGTGTGTGTGTGTGTGTTCTTTTCAAACAGAAAACTCTGAAAACAGGTACTGTTCTCTGGCCTTTTTTAAAGTTACAGCACCCGGAAGGTACAGAATGGATCATTCCTAATGAAAAAACGGAAGAAAACAAGGAAAAAAAGAAGAGAGGAAGAAAGAGAAGGATGGAGGAAACGAGAAAATGAGAAAAGGAGGAAGAGAGCTCTTCTGTGTGTGCGTGGTTTTAAGACAATCAGTAGATCACCTTGGCTGTTCATGAGAGTCTGAGGGCAGCAGTGTCAACATATATCAGGGGAATATTTTCCAGGTCACTTCCCATGCTGCTCTGAACCAGAGAATAATGGCATGGTAACCTTGCAAGTTTGAAGAAAAGTTCAGAGGTTGTTCTCATATTCACTCTCATTCTTATTTCCATCTTCTCTGCCTTCTACGGAGGCTCACTATTTTAATGAGATAGCCACACAAAGAAAGACTGATATATAGTGGCTGAAAGGGTGCATTAGGGAGAGAGGATTGGATTATTCCCTTTGCCCGCTGCAAGAAAAAAACAAAAACAAAAACAAAAAAACAGAAACAAACAAACAAAAGACCCTCAGAAGTGTGTTAATTGCTCAAAGGAACACCATCAACCAACTTCACCCTTTAAGATCATACAAAGTATCTTATTTCTGTCCAAAACTAAATTGCCTCAAAAATCAATGATAAAAAGATATCTAGGTAGTCTCCAAATACTTGGAAACTATACAACACAACTCAGGTTAAGTAAAAAAGTTAAAAGGCAAATTTAAAAAAAAATTTAAATACAAATTAAATCACAATCTATCAAAAATATTAGGAATGAAATAAGGGATATCATATCAAATATTCAGATGTTAAAAGGATGACATGGGGGAAATTATGAACAACCTGCTTCAATTAAATTGGAGAAATACATGAAACAATATTTTGAGGAACATAAATTTCTAGAATCAACTGAAAATTTTTATATAGAGAGAAATCATTAGAACACTCCATAACTATTTAAAAAATTGAAATTGTAGTTAGAAACCTTCCCACAAGGCACACTCAAGACTTAGGTGGTTTACCTTGTGAATTCTACTAAATATTTAAGAAGAAATAACAAAAGTTATAAACAAAATTTTCAAGAAAACATAGAAGAAAGAAACAAGTTTTAACTCATCTATTAGGCCACCAGTATAGCAATAGCAAAATAACCTTCATTATAATAAAAAAAGAACTACAGATGACACAGCTTCTAATAAAAATTAGAAAATTATTCTAATTGTAATGTGGCAATATCTGTTATGACCACCTGGGGTTTGTCCCAGAAACTCGGGGCTGGTTAACTCTTAAAAAAATGTAGGCCGGGCGCAGTGGCTCACGCCTGTAGTCCCAGCACTTTGGGAGGCCGAGCCAGGCGATTCACAAGGTCAGGAGATCGAGACCATCCTGGCTAACACGGTGAAACCCCGTCTCTACTAAAAAAATATAAAAATTAGCCGGGCGCAGTGGCGGGCGCCTGTAGTCCCAGCTACTCGGGAGGCTGAGGCAGGAGAATGGCGTGAACCCGGGAGGTGGAGGTTGCGGTGAGCCGAGATCGCGCCACTGCACTCCAGCCTGGGTGACAGAGCGAGACTCCGTCTCAAAAAAAAAAAAAAAAAGAAAGTAATTGATCTTACTAAGAAACAAAACAGAACAACAGAACTTAAGATTATTTCAATAAATGTAGGCATAACATTTGACAAAATTCCAAATCAATTCATAATGAAATTTCTGAGAACATAAGGAAGAGAAGGGAATTTCCTTATCTTAGAAGGACAGCTATTTACCCAAGAGCAATGAAAACCTGTATCCACCCAAAGAACTTTTCAAAGCAACTATACTCATAAAAGTCAAAACCCGGAAGGAGCCTAAACTTCCAACTGGTAATAGAGAAACAAATTTTGGTTTGTCTATACAATGAAATACTATTCGACAATAAAATGGAATGTAGTATTGAATCCTTCCAAACATTGTACAACAATGAGTACGGCACCTCTACAGCCATCTTTCTTCTTAATCTCTCATAAAGTTTACAAACTAGATGGGCAAAAAGGTAAAACTGAATAATTATTCAAGCTATTATTTTATAACAGTCACAATAAGTGCTTCATGGAAAATATATAATATTTACATTGTAAAATATAATGAGACCAATGTGGTCTCCACTATGACTTTGCTGAGATGCTTAGCCCATGTCCTGGAGGATAAATGGGAGTTAATCACAAGAAAGTGGAAGAAAGGTTGTGGTTAGAGGTCTGTAGGATAATTTCACGCGCAAAATTCAGGACACAGAGAACGGGTTCATGCATATAAGGAACTGAAAAGGGGTCAAAGTAACAAGAGCAGATATGAGAACAATAGACTGGAACAAAACACTTAAGGCATTTTATTTATTTTTATTCAAAAATGGGAAGCCATTATTTCTTTGTAGCACAAGGAAGGCAATTTTATGTGTATGTTTTTTGAAAAATCTTTGGACACTTTGTGAACTCCTCAGGAGATTGTTGTGGCAGGTGAGTTCATGTTGGAGTGGCAGCATTGGGGATGAGGAAAAAGGTGGATTGTAAAACAAGTCTTAGCCTATTTGCTTCACAGACCTGGTATTAATAAAATACCACAATTAGCTTCATCAGGGACTTGCTTTTTTTCTTACATTTTGTAATAACAACATTTCAAATGTATAGGAAAATTGAAATAATTTTACAGTGAGCATCCATATATCTGTTCCTAGATCCTATCATCTATATTTTACTGTTCCACATATCTATTCATGTTTTCATCCATCTCTCCATCTACAAACTATTGTTCTGTTTTGAAGCATTTCAGTGTAGGTACAGAAATCAGCACACTTTGCCCTAAGTACTGCAACATACATACCAATACCTGGAGTTTAATACTCAGAAAAAAATTTTAGGAATAAAATTTGCAAGCAATGAAATCTACAAATTTTAAGGTACCATTTGATAGGTTTCAACAAATGCATAGATCTGTGTAGCCCAAATCTTTATCGGGATAGAGTACATTATCTTACTCACTCAGTCCTCACCCTAAGCCTCACAGGCTTCTGCTGTCATTATAGGATACAATTATCTGGATGAATGGTAAGAACTTTTACGTAGTCTTATTTTGCCATTTGTGTATCATCTTTAGGAAAGTGTCGTTCAAAAAAAAACTGCATTGGGTAGTTTTTTTTTAATATTGATTTACAGAAGGTGTTACTATATCTTGGCTACCAGTCCAATTTTAGCTATTTATTTTGTGAAGATTTTCTCTCCGTCTTGCCTATTTATTTTCTTAATTATGCTGTTTGATGGACAGCAATTTTTCATTGTTTTATTATCCAATTTAATAATTTTTTCTTTCATGGTTATTGTGTTCTCTATCTTGTCTGAGAAACCTTTGAATACTCTCAAGCAAAAATGATATTCTGCTATATTTTATTGTAAAATATGTATTTTCAACATTTTAGTGTTTGTGCTTAGACCTATGGACTGCCTCTAATCAACTTTTGTGTATGGTGAAAGGTAAAACTTGAGTTTCATTTTTTTTTCTTTTTTTAGATTGAGTCTCGCTCTGTTGCCAAGCTGGAGTGCAGTGGCACCATCTCGGCTCACTGCAACCTCTGCCTCCTGGGTTCAAGCAATTCTCCTGCCTCAGCCTCCCAAGTAGCTGGGACTACAGGTGCATGCTGCCATGCCCGACTAATTTTTTTTTTTTTTTTGTATTTTAGTAGAGACGGGGTTTCACCTTGTTGCCCAGGCTGGTCTCAAACTCGTGAACTCAGGCAATCAACCTGCCTTGGCCTCCCAAAGTGCTAGGATTACAGGTGTGAGCCACTGCGCCTGGCCGTTTTTTTTTTTTTTTTTTTTTGTTTTGTTTTTTTTTTTGACATAGTTATCTTGTTGTTCCAGTATTATTTCCTGAAAAACTACCCTTTCCACCATAGAGTTCTTTGGCACCTTTGTCAAACATTGAAGGAATGTAGAAATATGGGCTTATTTCTGGACTCTATTCTATTCCATTGGCCAGCATTAGATTGTCTTGATTATTTTAGTTTTAAAGTAAGTCTTAAAGTCTTCAGTGTAAGTTTTTCAAATTTATTCTTTATTGAGATTACTTTGGATATCCTATGTCCTTTGTATTCCAATCTAATTTTAAAATTAGCCTGTTATTTATAAAAACAGAGGGCTGGTGGGATTACAAACGGGTTTATGCTGAATATAGAGATCAATTTGAAGTAAAAAGGCTTCTTAAAAACACTGAGTTTGCTGACTCATGAACATGGTTGACTGCTCATTTACTTGGATCTTCTTTAATTATTTTCAGTAATATTTTACAATTCTCAGGTATTGAAGGTCTTTTGCTAAATTTATTCAACAGTATTTAATGTCTGCATGCAATTTGATGCTATTGTAACAAAATGTTTTTAAACTTCATCTTCCAATTGTTTGTTAACAAAAAATGCAACTGATTTTTGTGTTTTAATCTTCTATAACCAAGCTAAATTTAATTATTACTTTTGGTTTCTGTTTTATTTGTTGTGCAAGATACTTTATGTAAAATTATGTATATGTAAAATTATATACATAAATACATATTTCTTCTTTCTTTCTGAATCTTCTGCCTTTTATTAATTTTTATCTCATTAAAATTTCAATATCATATTAGACCAGAGTGAACTTCCTTAAATTTCTCCCCATCTGAAAAAGAAAATATTCAATAGTTCATCATTAACCATAAGTTAACTGTAAGGCTTTATAAATTTCCTTTACCAGGCAGAGGGTGTTCTCTTCTGTGACTAGTTGCTGAGACTTTTTAAATAATGGATGAGAGTAGAAGTTTGTCAAATATTTTTTTCCTCTTTAATAGTCAAAATCATGGTTTTTTTTTCTTCTTTATTGTACTACTTGATGAATAATATATAATGACCCCCAAATGTTAAACAAACACTCCATTTCTGGGATAAACTCCACTTCGTCAAAACATATGCCTTTTATATAGGGTTAGATATAATTGGATAATATTTTATTAATGATTTTTGCAATTATTTTTATGAGAAATATTAGTCTGCAATTTCTTCCTGCAAAATTGTTGTTAGCTTTTGGAGTTAAGGTTGTGTTGGCACCATAAAATGTGTTAGAAAATGTTTTCATCTCTATTTTCTGACAGAGTTTTTGTAAGATAGGTTTTATTTTGTATATCATCATTCATATTATCTAAGTTGTAGAAGATGTTGGCATAACATTATAATTACCCCCTTTTATCGTTTTGGTATCTGTAATAAAGCCTACCTTTTACTCTTGGTATTTGTGTTTTAGGTATCTCTTTTTTATTGTAATAATTCTAGCCTGGAAGTTGTCAATTTGTTGATCTTTCCGAAGAACCAACTTTTGGCTATGATAATTTTCTCTCATTTATCAGGTTTCTCTGTCTTTGGCTTTTGTCCTTAACTTCATTAATTTTTTCTTTCTACTTACATTGTTTTATTCTTTCTACTTATATTAATTTCACTGTTCTTTTCTTTTTCTAACTTCTTAAGTTGCAAACTAGTGTCATTAAATGTAAATATTTATTCTTGTCAAATATGTACATTTAATGTTCTACTTTTCCCTCGAGGCTCTCACTTAGCTACCTCCCACAATAGGTTGTAGTTTCCTTTCAATTTTATTCAAAATATTTTCTAAACTTCTTCATGATTTCTTCTTTGATCTATATATTATTTAGAAGTAGGTCTTGTAATTTCCAAGTACTTTTGGAAATTAATAAAAATAAAATTTTGAAATAAATACAAATTCTGATTCTTATTAATTTCTTCATTTAATTACATTGTAAGACATACTCTGTATAAATTAAATCTATTACACTTACTGAGGCAAACTTTATGGACAAGGGTATAATTGATCTCAGTGAACATATCATGTGCACTTGAAAATAATGTGTATTTAGCAGTAGTTGTGTATAGTGTTCTATAAATAACAATTAGGTCAATGTGGTTGATAGTATTGTTAAAATTATTTATGCCTTTACTGTTTTTATAGTTTTCTATCATCAGTTTCTGAGGGAAAAGATTAACTTTTCACTAGAGAGTATTTGTAGCCTATGATTACGCAATCATATTTATTTACATCATGTTCTACATTTTTTGTTTCCTAAAATATATATGTGTATATCTGTATGTATGTGTGTATATATATATATATATACACACAAATATATATTTATGAAGCAATCAATATACATATAAGATATATAAAACAATATATAACAAATATACACATATATAGTTAGGACACATAATTTAGGTAATATTTATGACAGAATTATTAAAGAAAACCAATTTATTTTTAGGAAAATGGCAAGCATGCCTCGATTTTCTTTACATTCTTTTTTCTTTCTCGGTTACATAAATGTTTGGAAAATCTAGCCAGTTAGTCATGAAACCAGGGCTCTCAACTCACCAGGTGGCAGTCTCCAAAATTTCACACCATTTATTAAGAAATAATCAACCTCCTTAAAATCAACATAGCAAAACAAAACCCAAGCAACGAGAACAAAACACATTCATTATTAATTTCCCTCTCAAATGGAAAAATTTACATAGTTTTTCATCAATAAATACTCCATATCGAAGGTCTTTATTGTGGCTCAAACCTAACTGACAAGATGTGGATTACTTAGGATGTTTCCCTTGTGTTTTAACAATTGACCTCACCATACTCTAAATATGTTTTATGTGAGTTGATAGTTGTTTAATTAACAGTGTTATTCTTTACTAGTAATATATGACAAAATATAGTACATTTAATGTTCTGTTTATGACCACATTAAATTTCATCTACTTAAAGATATTAATTTATATACTGATTAATTAAGTCATTTAAAGAAGTCACAATTTAGGAGAACATTCCAGTGGCTTTGTTCTTCCTCTTTTACTTTGAGTGGTAGAGGAAAAAGGTTAGTTGAAAATTCTGCATGCAATCCTGCTTTTGTTTTGGACTTACGGCATCCTTGTTGTATATTAGGTGTGTTTATTCTATGTCTCTCTGTGAATGATGTAGCTCAGCAGCGCTTGGCCTCTGGGTAAGAAGGAACTATTGAGTTAGCCTTGGCTATAAATTGGTACCACTGGGATGGACAACTACTTAAATTATTATATTATTTTTCACAAGATGCTATACTCTGAAGTCCTTCCCATTCATCAACCTAATAGCTCAGCAGGTATCTCCTGCAGCCTTTATTGTCTGGGTCAGTTAGCTCTGGAGGTTAGAGTGGTGATTATGAGGGCCAGGCTTGTGGTTTTAATCCCTGTATGGGCCAGTTAGTTCCTCAGTTAGGAAAAACCCTTGTGCATAGCGATCACCTGCACCTCTAACCTTTCTATCTTGTAGTTGCACACCAAGGGTTATAGAAGTGACATGTCATGGGACTGTAGATGACATAGTGCAATTCATCATTACTGCCAGAGAAATAAATCAAGGCACATATTCCCTTGACTAGATATTTCTTTCATCCTTAAGTGGGGGAGCATACACATGGATTTGAAGCTACATATGCTTGTGCTTAAATGAATTTTTTTATTAAACCAAATATAAATGCAATAGCTTCATTGAATTTGAAATATCAAAAGAGAAAGCAGCTCAATGCCTGAACTTTGGAATCCTTTGAAAGCTCACAATGCACCATATCCAAAGGCCCCAGAGATGTATTTTACTAAGCTCAGAAATTCCTTCAGAGCAATTTGAAACTATCATGTTTTCCAGTCTCCCACAATCATCATATCTGGCCTTTTCCCCCAGGTCCATTTATTGTTTCCCCTTGTTTGGATTGATGGCCCAGTTCTCACCTGTCTAGATTGCTGAGCCTTGAAATAGCCTGAATTAAATCTTCCATCTTTCTCACAGTTGCACTTTGCTGTAAGAATCCACATTCTCTCACCAACACTATCTTTTGACTCCCTTATGAAAGGAAAGAAATTGGGCTCTTCACTCATCATCTTGCTCCATCCATTCAGTCAAAAATATTTTCTGGCCACCTGCTTTCCTCAAAATGTTGTATAGGAGGGAGAAAAAAATAACGAACTGCAGTAAAAAAAACTTACGACTAGGATATGGAAAATAAGAAGTGGGCATACTTAATTTTAACTCAAAAAGACCATGGGCCATGAAACCATGTGTCTGAGAAAAGTATAAGCAGGGCTGTAAGAATACTAAAAATCCTGAGCTGTCTTCAGTGTTGAGCTTCATTGTCCTGAATTGTATTCTCCCTATAAAGCAGAATGGGATTTGAAGGCTAGTGATATGGTTTGCCTCTGTGTCCCCACCCAAATCTCATCTTGAACTATAATCAATAGTAATCCCCATTTGTCGAGGGAGGGACCTGATGGGAGGTGATGAGATGATGGGGGTGGTTTCCCTTATGCCGTCCTCATGATAGTGAGGGAGTTCTCATGAGATCTGATGGTTTTAAAGTGTGGCACTTACCCTTTGCTTGCTCTCTCTCTCCTGCCACCGTGTAAGACATGACTTGCTTCCTTTCCCACTTCTGCCATGATTGTAAGTTCCCTGAGGCCTCCCCAGCCATGGGGAACTGTGAGTCAATTAAACCCCTTTTGTTTATAAATTACCCAGTCTCAAGTACTATCTTATTTAATTAATTAATTTATTTCAAGACAGAGTCTCACTTGTCACCCAGGCTGGAGTGCAGTGGCATGATCTCGGTTCACTGCAACCTCTGTCTCCCAGGTTCAAGCAATTCTCGTGCCTCAACCTCCTGAGTAGCTGGGATTACAGGCATGTGCCACCAAGCCTGGCTAAGTTTTGTGTTTTTAGTAGAGACAGGATTTCACAATGTTGGCCAGGCTGGTCTCGAACCGCTGACCTCCAGTGACCACCCACCTCGGCCTTCCTAAGTGCTGGGATTACAGGCATGGGCCACTATGCCCAGCCTCAGGTAGTATCTTTATAATAGTGTGAGAATGTACTGATACAGCTAGTACAATTATTTTTCAATTGTTCCTTGTCACTTTAAGTTATGTGATTTAAGTTACTTAAAACTAATCTTATGTTTTATCATACACCTGCTTTAAAATAAAAAAAAACTATTTCAGTTATCAAAGCCTGATTTTCTTATCATTATCTCCTGCTATTCCTCTTTTTTACAGAGCAAAAGAGACTCAAAAACAACCAACTCAAACCATTTACTTGCAATACACATCCTAAATAACCTCATAGCTGACATGTAACACGTGTAGATGGATGGAATCAAAACATTAATATTTGTTAATTTTTGTCATCAGAATTGTCTTTATCATTTGCTGTGGTTTACCAATAGTTCTCTCTGTACATCAAAAATCCAGTTTTTTTCTTTTTTGTTTGTTTAAAAAAGAAAGATGGAATTGATTTTTCCTTTAGCCTTACAGTCTTTCCTGCTCCAATGATATATTTTAATTGCTGGAAAAAATGTATTTCCAACTATATTTCTGGCATAGTGGGTTAAAACGTTGAAAGAACAATTGGTTTGACACACTTTTTCCTCAGGACATTTTCAGCACTGAAATTCAGGTCATGGAGAGATAAGTTAAAGTGCTGTTTTAGGAAGACCATCAAGAGGCAGATGCAGTATTTCTTCCGTACGCTTCCCACTTGGTGTACACATCACTGCAGCGTGCATAGAAGAGCTCCCCAAGATTACTGCACCTGTGGGAGGATGTTAGGAGGAGGAGCTTCATCTCAGTCCATGGGAAACTGTGCCTCTACGTCCCTGTATGCCTCTTCCGAATGCCACCTACACCTGCTTAGTTCCTTTAAGAGAGACAAATATTAATAAATCTCTTTCGTCCCATATTCTCTTCATGCCCTGTGTCTTTTTGACCTCTGCTGAAAGCCATGTGCGCCTTGGCTCTCTGTCACAGCCATCATACTTTGTGGTATAATTGTTAAGGTCACATAAAGAATCAACCTTGAAAAAGATGACTCAAATTGCATGTTTTTCTGTGAAAAAGAAGTGTATGTTAATGCACTCGGAGAAAGAAATAAACATTGTATCTGATCCTGTGGGGTGCAATAAAGTTTTTACTGCCAGGAGCTGGGAGTAATCACATTACTCATCTGTGTCACAAATATGAGTGAGCTAGGAAGGTTTTCTCTGTCAAATTGCTATAAAGGTTTTCTCGGTACTGTCCCAGCCCATTCCAATTTTTATTTATGACAGCTGTTATCTCCAGTTTACTTTGGACTTTATTTTTCCATTTTTTAGTCTGTGAGCAATAGAACTTATATGCTTACCCTTGATTATGTGCTGAAGAGTATATAATTAATTTGGAAGCCTGGGCGTTTGGTCATTTCATGGGATAAGAGTTGCATAGCATGATGGAGACGTAAGAGAGATAATGAATAGATAAAGGCACACAGATTCACTGAGTTTTGACTGGTCTTTGTCTGATGCTTAAGAAATACCTGAATCTGCTGTGAAAGCCAGCGTATTTCCAGTTTTACAGACATCCGTTGGCATCCTATGGGGAAGGTGTCTTTGTTGAGATGAAGGGGTATTGGGTCAAGAATAGGTTTGTGACAGAATGATTCTGAATCCTCAGAAAGATGTATAGGCAATAAAGAACGTTTAGAAAACTAAAGATTAATAGAAGATAATGCTCTGATTCTATTATCATTGAATATATATAATAAAATTACAATGATTAAAATAGTAGAATGCCATAGATTTTGTTTCCGAAAATAATGGAATATCAGGAATTAGTTTTAAACTCCTGTCTTGAACAAGTAGAATACCAAACAAAATATATCAAACACTGGTTTTCAGATATTGGAAACAAGCCTCACAAGACAGTGATCCCTGACATAAGAGAACGGGTGAAGTGAGCTCTACGGCTGACTCAGCTTACAGCCTCAAGAGAATTCCAGGCTGCAGTACAGGGAACACATACAGTGCCTGGTTGCCTCTCTAAGTTGAGAAGGCAGAATTTATAATTTAGGGAGGCCAGGCAGCTAGCAATCACAATGCAAAATATTAGCAAAGTGGTAGATATAACGAGACCTTTGGAGATTTAAGGACGGGTCACATTAAGAGTTCAGCTGAATACTGAACAAGGCTCACAACTGGGCAAAGATAATAGGCATATAGAACTATCCTAAGAGCTGACTCTGGGCTAAGAATAGTAGTGTGTCCCCCTAGGTAGAGTGAGAAGACTCACTAACACGTGGAATGGCACATTGAGTAGAGTTCTCAGAAGGGTATGACCTCAGTACTCTGGCCAAGTTAGCTCTAGATTAAGCGCTGCTCTTTTCCCAGCTAAGAATGTTTAAAAACAAGCCTGGAAATAATTGACTGATTCAAAGCAACTTAATTGAATCTTAGAAAACAGCTGAAATATAGTCAAAGATATATAGAGGAAAATATCACCTGACAAGATAAAATTTCCAATGTTAAGCATCTAATAAAAAATTACCAGGCGTGAAATGAAGCAAGGAAAATGACCCACAGTGAGGAGAGTAATCAATCAATAGAAACAGACTGTAGGATGTGGAATTATTAGACAAGGATATTAAAGAAGCTATTTTGAATATGTTCAATAGGTTGAAAAAGTAGAGGAATATATGAACATTTTGAGGATGGATATGAAATGCAAAAACACTCAAATGAAAATTATGGAGATGAAATATACAATGTCTAATATAAAAATGTATTGAGTGAGATTAACAGCATATAACATTGCAAAAAAAGGGGGGCAAATTAACTTAAAGGCTAGAAGTCAAAACTATCTAAAAGGAAATCCAGTAGGATTAAAAGATTGAAGGAAAAATGAGCAGAGAATCAGCAGGCTGGAGAACATCAAGAGGCTAACAATATTTATAACTGGAATCCTTAAGAAATATTTGAATAAATATGGCCACTGTTTTTCAAATTTAGTAAAAAGCATAAATACATAGGCCTAAAAATTTTTATGAAGCAAAAGAAGAAGAAACATTAATAATAGAACAAGGCTGATCATATTCAAATTGTTTAAAATTAGTGGGAAAAATTCTTAGGAAGCAGCAGCCCCGAAAGATACCTTATGTATAAAGGCCAAAAGAAAAACAGTGCGGGAGACTTCTCATTAAAAAATGCCAGCTCTAAGTCCATGGAGTTAAACATTTACCGTAATGTCAAAAAAAATCAGAATTTTATATTCAGTAATATTTTTACAAATCAAGGTAAAAGAAATATTTTTTGGATCTACGAAACCTGAACAAATTCATCTCTAGCGGTCCAGCGACTAAAGAAGTATTAAAGTCTTTCAGTCAGAGGGAAAGGATTCCAGGTAGAGATACTGATCACACAAAGGAATGGAATGAAGAATGGTCTAGCATTCACTCATTCATAATGACCTGAGCATCAGAAGCATTTTATTAATGGTATTTCATCTCTTCTCATCAGGCAAACTAAACACTTTGGTAATAAGAGAGATACATTTGCTTATTTTTAAAACATTATTTAAAACATAACTGAGACACCTCAAAGGACTAACTGAAACTTCCACTTCAAGAAACCAGAAAGAATAGAAGAAAATAAACCCAAAACAAGTAGAAGGAAGGAAATAAGATGAAAGCAGATATCAATGAAATTAAAAACATGAAAACAATTTAAAAAGTTAATAAAACCAAAGCTACACTTTTTAAAGGATCAAAACAATTGATAAATTTCTCACAAGGCTGACAAAGAACTCAATAGATCAGACACAAATTGCTAACATTAGGAATTTTGTAGAGGGGATATCACTAGAGACTACAGAGGTATTACAAGAATTATAGTACTACAAAGAACTATGTGTACATAAATTTGACCAGTTGGATAAAATGGACTAATCTCTTGACAACTACAAATTGACAAAAAACTATTCACCAAGAAGAACCATCTTCATACCCAGGTGATTTAATTCTACTAGATAATGATAGAGTAACAATAATCCTACTCAAATTCATCCAGAAGTAGATGATAAATGAACATTTCTCAAATCATTTTATGACACCAGTTTTACTTTTATGCTAAAAATAGAAAAAGACAGTACAAAAAAGACAACTCCTGAACAATATCCCACATAAACACAGACATACAACTCTTCAGCAAAATGTGAGCAAATCAAATCCTGTTATGTATGTATAAATCTATCTTTCCATCCATCTGTTGAAATAATATTACTAATAAATCAGATTTCTTCCAAAATTCTGAACTTGTTGAACATTTAAACATCAATTAATGTAGTTCATTATATTAACAGTCTAGAGAAAAGGGAAAAAACACATGGTAGTATTAACAAACACAGTAAACGCATTTGATCAACTAGCCATTTTCTTAAAACTTTTCAGTGGCTTCTGATGGCTCCTGGACTAAAGAATAAATTCTATCAAATGTACTATGACTCGATTCTGAGATGGGCCCCTGCGATCTCTGTAGTCCTATTCTCCTATATGCTTCCATGAGCCATGCATGTTTTCTCAGGTTTCATGGATTATGATAAGATCTTGTATGCCTCGGGTTATCCTCAATCAAAATTATCTCTGCTTTGAAAGAATTTTCCACCTCTTTCTTTCTCCCCGTCACTGGGTTTTGGCCTGTGTGTAATTTAACCAGAGATACTTTCAATGGAAAGGCCAATTCACATAAATGCTTTTGCTTTCACAACTTCTTATACCAAATTCTATTTATGATTATGTTCATACGATAATTTAAATTTTATCTACACATGTGCATGCTTACTGTTCTCTTCCATCTGATTCATGTTAAGCATTCATAAATAGTTAATAAGTGAGCAAATTATCTGCTTTCTTTTTATACCTTTATAAAGACTTGAGCATCAGAAATATTTTATTAATGGTATTTCATCTCTTGTCATCAGGCAAAGTAAATGCTTGGGAGAAAACGAGAACATGCTAAAAACATCATTCAATCCATTTTATTTTATATTTAAATAGTTTTATTATTTTAACTTCAATGCCATAATAAAATGTTAATAGCATTCATTAAACGAACATTTATTGAGTTGCTCATATGGCCAGACACAAATGATGGAAAACTGAACCAGACAAACCAAAGCCCCCAAATCTGTGAAGTATACAAGCATGGGGGTCTCTATCATTGTTGTTCCTTTCATTTTTAAGAAACACAGTGTAATGAATTACAAGAAAAAGCAGTTCTTAGTCTTCCTCCTTCAAACGACTAATATGACAGAGTACTATTCATATATAGTTAAAATATTTAAACCATTTAAGAAGGAAATACATGAAAAGTAAAAGCATCTACCCTCACTCCAGCCTTCAATTTATCTTACTAGAGGTGACTGGAACTGGCCCAACTGGCCCATGGGAGTGATGTTAATGGTTTATTTGAATAAACATAGAAATTGATCTTCAGTCTTGAAATTGGAAAAAGTTACATTTGTCTTATCTGAGTTTCCTTCTCAGGGAACCAACCATCAGGCCTCCCAGAGAGTTTAAAAAAGCTGAAACGCATCAGATCACCGCATCTGAACAATGAGACACCAGACCCCTCACCCTCATGATTGCCTAAGCAACCACCTGTTGCCTGTCTACCAACTCTTCTTCTTTAGCTCTCCCTAATTCCTGTTTTCCCACATATGATTACATTTTTTCCCTGCTATATAAAGCCTTAATTTTACAATAGTTGGTCAGGGAAACGGATTTGAGATTGAGCTCCCGTCTTCTTGGCTGCAGCACCTAATTAAAGACTTCTTCCTTGGTAATACTTGTTGTCTCAGTGATTGGCTTTCTGTATGGTGAGCAACAGGACCTAGACTGAAACTCTGGGGTTTTGGTAACATAACCAACATTTTCATTTTTTTATGACTTTTACTGAAAAAAATAAAAAATAAATGTGTATATTCTCATTTCTTTAGAAAAAAATGATGCTAGTTATTCATCTGTTTTTAACAAATTATACTTTATAATTTCTTGTATTAGCACATGCATATGTACCTCACTTTTATGGCATTGCAATATTATGAGAACATCATAATTAATATAACTTGTCCCCTACTTAGTAGCTATAATTTTCTATTTTTTCTATTACAAAAGCATTTTGATAAATACGTAATATGTTATAATTAATATTATCAGTAAGGAATGTCATAGAATGATATTTAATTCATTCCAAAAGAAAAAAATGAGACACTATAATATTAAATGCTATTCTGATCTATGACCATTCTGTAAAGGGGAGTCCAGTATTTCAGTAGCCATTACTTCCTTATCTAATGAAGGATAAGAAGGTCAGTCCTGAGACAGAGAGTGACTAGTTCCTGAATCACACTTGGAAAATATCAAGTTTTTCACTATTTTTCTTGTCTTTGGAGCAGGGATAAGAGTTTTTCCATAAGAATGCCCATTTTAAAAAGTCACTATTCCAAAATATACATATGTATAGTAAAAAATTACTCCTATATGTTTTGTTAAGCTTGTATAACAGTAATGGCAATTTCTTTTGACTGACAATTTGGAGGAAAACTTGGAAATTTCTACTTTCACATCTTTGAGAGTATCTACATTTCTTATGGAGGTAGTTTATATAATATATAGCAGCGGTTTTGCTCAAGGTAACATCTTCTGCATCCAAAGTGCTGTGAGAAACAAAGATAGTCCATGAAATTCATCACATATTAGCACATTGACAAGGAAATGAGAGCATTCATCTGAAACAACCCACCAGACGCTGCCATGATATCTTGTCAATATGGTTCACTTAATTCTCTCAAAGCCTTTATGACAATATGGTTGTTTTGTCTTGTAATTGTCAAAAATACTCTTGTATTGGCAGGCCCAGCAGGTATCATTTTTGAGCTTTTCTTTTCTTTTTTTCTTCAAAACTCACATGATCTCACAGATTCAGTGAAAGACGGATAAGACTGATCAATAAATCACACATTCATGGGTGAGCTAACCCATGTTGTTGTTTAAAAATTATGCTAGAGAGACAATGTATATAAAAGAAACAGATAGTTGGTCAGTTTCTAATGCATTGCTGCTTATACTGCTTAGTTTCTCCTTTTTCAGAGGTTAGTATTATGAAATCATATATTTTCATTTTTCTTTTTTTTAATAAGTGGAAGATGATGTGACTAAATGTGTTGCGTTTGTTCCTGAAACCTGAAGTATTTCTGACCGAACATCTCTCTAAATGTTGAAGGTAATGTTCTCAGAAGCAGAACACTTCAAAGCTCAAACAGATCAATTTGTGGACATAACTGAACCAACCACAAGACTTAAGTTATAAAAGAGAAGTATCCAATGAACTGAAATATCAGTAATACAGCCGCTCAAGTGGATTTTGACCCAGAGCAATATTGGCTCCAAATGTGTCAGAAAGTTTCTTTCTCAAAAATAAGATTCATTTTCTCAGTAGTTAGATTTTTTTAAACTTTAAATTTGAAATAGTTTAGATTCAAAAAAAATTGCAAAAGTAGTAGTGTTCCCACACACCTTTCATCCAGCTGCCCCCAGAGACAACATCTTACCAAAGCATGGTACATCATCAGAACCAGAAATTTGACATTGATATAATACTAACATATGGGCACACCCTACTTCCAATCCTAAAACTTGACAATTGTGGAATTGTCTTCATTATTGTAATTTTGACATTTGAAGAATTTTATATGTATGAAACGATAAAGTATATAAACTATTTTAAGAGTTTAACTGAGATAAACCTCAGATCATAAAATTCATCCATCTAGAATAAATAAGTCAATAGATTTTAATATATTCACAGAGTTGTGCAGCCATCACCACAATCTAATTTTAAAATATTTCTTCACCGCAAAAGGAAACTCCATACCTATTACCAGTCACTCCCAGTGCCCTGACCTCAAAGCCCACACAGCACTAGACAATCAAGACTCTCCTTTCTGGCCTGGCATGGTGGTTCATGCCTGTAATCCCAGCACTTTGGGAAGCTGAGGCAGGAGGATTGCTTGAGCCCAGGAGTTTGAAACTAGCCTGGACAACACAGCAAGACCCTGTCTTTATTTTAAAAAGAAAAAAAAATAGAATGTACTTTCTTTCTGTCTCTCTCTATAGAATTTCTACTCTAGATATTTGAAATGAATAAAATCATACATGTGGTCTTTTATGACTGACTTCTTTAACAGAATACTGTTAAGGATCTTTTATATTTTAGCACGTGTCAGAATTCCATTACTTTTTATTGCTGAATACTATTCCATTTTATGAATATATCACTTTTATTTATGTATTTATTATTTGATAAAATTGGGTTGTTTCTATGATTTTACTATCGTGAATAATACTATTATAAACAATTGCATTCAGGTTTTTAGTGTGGACAAATGCTACCCAATTATTGAGTCATATGGTAACTCTATATTATCATGTGGGCCGATCACATCTTGCTTAGCCCTGCGATCCAGCTTTTTGTGTGAAGTTGTTTTCATTCCTTAATTATAAATATCTAAGAATGTAATTTCTGGGTTCTATCGTGTGTATTAATATAGTGTATATTTAACTGCCAACTAAGCCTGTTCTCCAAAATGGCTATAACCATTTTATAGTCTCACAAGCAAAGTGTTGAGATCCATTTTCTCCACACTGTTACCGGAAGTCAGTATTAACAGCATATACTTTTAAAAAAAGTTTTAGCCATTCTTACCAGAGTGTACTGGCATCTCATTGTGATTTTAACTTATATTTCCCTAATGGACAATGGTGCTAACATTGTTTCATGGGCATATTTGCTGTTGTATATCCTCTTGGATGGGTGAAATATCTCTTAAGTCTTTTGCTCATGTTCCAGCTAAATTGTTTGTTTTCTTACTGTTACACTTAGAAAGTACTTTCTACATTTTCAAAACAAATACTTTGTCAGATGTGTGATTTGCTGATATTTCCCCCTGTGGCTTACGTTTTTATGCTCTTAACAAAGTCTTTCCTTGAGCAAAACGCTTTAATTTTGGTGAAGTCCGATGTTTCATTTCTGTTTTTAATGGATTGTGTTCTTGGTTTCATGTCTAAGAACTCTGCCTAATATTAGGTCGCAATGACTTTCTCCATTTTTTTTGGAAGTTACAGTTATACATTTTATATTTGAATCTATAAGTTAATTTATAAATAAACTCTGAGGCTCAATGAGTTTTTAAATTTGCTTGTTTAGATTTTGCCTGTGGATGTCCATTTGTTCCAACACCTTTTGTTTAAAAGATAAGACTTTCTCCACTGAATTGCTTCTGCAAATTGTTGAAAAATCAGTTGGGTGTGTTTGCGTTCGCATATTTCTTTCGGTTTTTTTTTCCTTTTTTTTTTTTTTTTTGAGACGGAGTCTCGCTCTGTCACCCAGGCTGGAGTGCAGTCATGCAATCTCGGCTCACTGCAAGCTCTGCCTCCTGGGTTCACGCCGTTCTCCTGCCTCAGCCTCCCGAGTAGCTGGGACTACAGGCGCCAGCCACCATGCCCAGCTAATTTTTTTTTGTATTTTTTTTGTATTTTTTTAGTAGAGACGGGGTTTCACCATGTTAGCCAGGATGGTCTCGATCTCCTGACCTCGTGATCCACCCGCCTCAGCCTCTCAAAGTGCTGGGATTACAGGCGTGATTGTGTTCGCATATTTCTAAGTTCTTGACAATGCTGAATTTTACTTGAGCCCTGTGGCCCTGGGGAAACAAAGGTGAAGGATCACTCTATCCCATGTTCTGGGATATAGCTCACCCTAAAGAACCGCACTTCCTATGTGACTACAATGGAATCAAGGATGCCACTTGGTTGACCTAGAACACGGCTAGACACAGAGACCCCAAATTCCCATTCTTTATCAGTGATGAGCTGAACTGCATGTCTCCACTGATCAGTGGGAACAAAATGCTTCTTAACAAAATTTAGTTAAGATTCTCTTGAACTTTAGCCCACCCACCCTCAGCCAGCACACCATCCTTCCTTCAGGGCCCCCTCTAGAAAACAGGCTGACTACAGAGTAAAACATACTCTCATCTACTGTCTGAGCACTTCACCCTTTCTTTCCACTTCCCTGTACCCAGTGCCTTCTCACCTGTTTAATCTGCTCTATAATCCTTGAGATTTTGCTGACCTTAGTTAGTTGAGTGTTCTCCCCATTACAATAGCCTATCCCCAAATGATTATTTCTGATAAACTCCTGCCTTACTGAGTCTGAACGTGTTTTTCATTTGACACTGTATATTCTGTTCTGTTGATCCATGTCCACACACCCAACAGTATCACGTTGTCTTGACTATGGTAGCTGTAATATAATTCCACAATTTGGTAGTGGGCTGTCTTCAACTTTATTGTTCTTTTTCAAGATTGTTTTAACTCTTCCAGCTCCTTTGCTTTTCTATATAAATTTTAGAATCAGCTTGTGTATATTTACAAAAACTCCTGCCATAATTTTGATACCAATTGGATTAAATCTGTTGACCGATATGGAAAGAATTTTTTGAAATTTAATTTAATTTTATGTTCCAGGATACATGTGCAGGATGTGCTGGTTTGTTACATAGGTAAACGTGTGCCATGGTGGTTTGCTGCACCTATCAACTCATCACCTAGACATTAAGCCCCGCATGCATTAGCTATTTATGGAGAGAATTGACATCTTTTCTTTGTTGAGTTTCTTAGTCCTTAAAACATGATGTTTTATTTATTTGTTTTTTTTAAGTTTCTATCAGCATTTTTAGTTTTTGACATACAGCTTCTGTACATGTTGGTTAAATGTATAAGTATTTTTTGGAGTCATTCTAAATGTCACTGTGTTTTAAATTTTCTCAGTGGATTACTGATGTAGATATACAATTGAACTTTGTACATTGACTTTATATTAGTTCTAAGAGTTTTTCTTTTTTTAACTTAGTATTTTTTTACAGATGATCATTTGCAAGTAAGCTGAGTTTTATTCTCCTTTTCCATCTGCATGCTTTTTATTTATTTTAGTGCCTTATTATACTGGTTGACATTTTAGTACTATGATCACTAGCAGTGGTGAGAATGGACATGCTCGCTTGCTCCTGATTTTAGGTGAAAAGCATTCAATCTTTCACTAATAAGAGTGACATTAGCTGTATTTTTTTAATAGATGTTATAATGTTGATGAATTTTTCTTTATTCCTAGACTAGGGAACATAAAATGTAACCATAATGAGATGTCATTTTGCAACCAATAGAATGACTATAATTTTGTTTTTAAAAACCCTGAAAATAACAAATTGTAGCAAGGATGTGAAGCAACTAGAAGCCTCATACATTGCTGATGAGAATGCATAATGATGCAGCATTTGGAAGTTTGTTTAACTTTAAAAAGTTAAATATACACTTACCATATGAGCTAGCAATTCTACTCTGGAATATTTTACACAAAAGAAATGAAAACAAAAAGATTTGTACACGAATATTTACAGCAGTACTATTTATAATAAACAAAATGTAGAAATAATGTAATTAGCCATTAACTGGTATATAAGTAAACATAACGTGGTATATCTCACCAATAAAAAGGAACAAAGTACGAATATGCCAAAAACATGGATGAAGCTCAGAGACATTATGCTCAACGGAAGAGGAGGGACAAAAAGATTACATATTATATTCTCTTTATATAAAATAGGAACATAAACCACAAACACACAAAGCAGATTTTTGGTTGCCTGAGGCTGGGGGTGGCAGTGTAGATACATTGTGAATAGTCAAGTAGGAACCTTTGAGGAGATGGGAGTGTTCTAAAGCTGAATTGGGGTGAAAGTCGCGTAACTGGATACATTTTCTAAAAGTCATCGAACCGTACATTGCAATTGGTGAATATGTAGTATGATATGCTGATTATACTTCACTAAAGCCTGTCTAGAAATAAAGATGTACACCAAATAGTCCAGGGATCCCTATCTCTCAGGTTCAAAATACTAATAATAACAATAATAATAATAATACCTCATGAGTAGAAAATACAGTCAGCAAATGTTTTCCCACATTTTTGAGACTTCCAGTGCATCCCTATAGACTGAATGTTGGTGCATCTCTAGAAACAGAAGGCAGGTAAGATTTGTGACCAGGTTCCAGCTGTACATGGAAAACAGGCAAACAGAAAGTGTCCAGTGTCCAGTGACCGGGAGACAAAGGAGCGAGCAGCATGGTGGCCTGAGGTGAGCAGGGCCAGGACTTAGTCCTGACAAAGTGGGAGTGTTGAGGAGATATGATAAAGGAAGCAGAGGATGAAGGGAGAGTGTTGTTGTCTTTCAAAATAGAAAGGGGACCAGAGTCAAGAAATGCGAGTGGCCTCTAGAAGCTGAAATAAGCAAGGAAATGCATTCTGTCCTAGAGCTTCCAGAAGGAATTCAACCATGCCAACACCTTGATTTTAGCTTGTGAGACTCATGTTGGATTTCTGATACCCAAAACTGTAGGATAATGAATGTGCGTCATTTTAAGCCACGAAATTTGTGCAGCCTATTTTAGCAGCAGTAAGAAACGAATGCTGCGTCTACCTGATCTATCTCCACCAAAGGTATTACATCTAAAATATGTTTGATAGTGAAGAATTATTTCTTCTTGAACCACTTATTCATACAACTATTTGTTTAGAAGTTCAGACTTGATTCTGATTGACAAAATTGCTTTCTCATACAGAGACAATATTTAATTATCTATGTAATTAAAATGTTTTGTAGTCAACCATGACCAGTACAAGTGCATACATTTTTTCTATCTTAATATACAACCCAAATATTCACCAATTTTATATTTGTTTGTTTTGTTTTATGTTTTTTGTTTTTTCTTTCTTTGAGATGGGGTCTCACTCTGTCATCCAGGCTAGAGTGCAGTGGCATGATCTCAGCTCACTGCAACCTCTGCCTCCCGAGTTCAAGCCATTCTCTTGCCTGAGCCTCCTGAGTAGCTAGGATTACAGGTGTGCACCACCACACCTAGGTAGTTTTTGTATTTTTAGAAGAGACAGGGTTTCACCCTGTTGGCCAGGCTGGTCTCAAAGTCCTGACCTCAGGTGATCCACCCACCTCAGCCTCCCAAAGTGCTAGGATTACAGGTGTGAGCCACCACACCTGGCCTCATTTTTTTTTTTTTTCGTCTCCCAAAGTTGCTCATCAAAAATAAAATCTTCAGAAATTCCAAACAACACAGCTGCGGGGAGTGAAACGGGAGTGACACTTTCTGCCTCCGGCAGCATAGATGACCCTCAGGATTTGGAGGGTTGGCTGAGTCATCACGTCTCACCCTTTCTGTTTACAGATAACATCAGTGAAACTGTGCCCAACGGAAGATGCAATATATGCAGCAGGGAGCTCTTCTTGTCTTCTGTGCTCTGTGGCATTTTCTGACACCTATATGGAGAAATCATTCTTCACTTATGTGAGTTGCCATATACTTTATACATCCCACTTTTATAGAAAATTATTCAATGTGTAAGAGTTTTGTAATTACATTACTTTTAGCCTGAAAGATGGATTAAGCATATGGATATCACTTAATTAATTTTTGTATTTTTTTATTATGCTTTAAGTTCTGAGATGCATGTGCAGAATGTGCAGGTTTGTTACATAGGTATACACATGCCATGGTGGTTTGCTGCACCCATCAACCCGTCACCTACATTAGGTATTTCTCCTAATGCTATCCCTTCCTCAGCCTCTGACTCCCTGACAGGTCTCAGTGTGTGATGTTCTCCTTTCTGTGTCCATGTGTTCTCATTGATCAACTCCTACTTATGAGTGAGAACATGCAGCGTTTGGTTTTCTGTTCTTGTGTTAGTTTGCTGAGAATGATGGTTTCTGGCGTCATCCATCTCCCTGCAAAGGACGTATTTTTAACACTAACCACAATAACTTATATGTAATAGGCACTTGATAAAACATCAAACTGTGTATGACAAGGCAGTCTCTTTTTGAGCTCTAGCTTTATCTGAACAGAATCTGAAGTTATGACAATGGAAAACCAGTGAAAAGCCATTACACTTGCTAACGGTGTAGCTTTAGTCAAATTATTAAGGCCATCTTTGGCTCAATTTTTACATCCGCAAAATAAAGATAATAACAGTACCGGTATTGTGTGATCATGTTAAATATGATATAGGACATTACACATAAAACACTTAGCATAGTGCCTAACACACAGGTTTATCTTCAAAAAAGCTAGCTAAAATTATAATCATTCTCAAATTATTTACAGTTAAAAATGTTGATATTACTTATTTTCTTAAATGAAAATACTGAAGAACAAAGTAAACTATGTAACCTTTAACTTTTTATTTAGATACTTAATTGAAGGCAAAAGAAATAAAATATTAATAATTTAAAATGAAGAGGAATGTATTAAAACAATATGGAATGATTTATAGAGACTGAAGGGAATTATAGCAAACAAGATTTGGAAGCTACATGGAGAGAAATAATACTCAAAATTAAGCCACCTGTAATCCCAGCACTTTGGGAGGCTGAGACGGGCAGATCACCTGAGGTCAGGTGTTCAAGACCAGCCTAGCCAACAGGGCAAAACTTCATCTCTACTGAGAATACCGAAAATTAGCTGGGCGTGGTATGCACGCCTGTAGTCCCAGCTACTCGGGAGGCTGAGGCACGAGAATTGCTTGAACCCAGGAGGCAGAGGTTGCAGTGAGCCGAAATCACACCCACTGCACTCCAGCTTTGGAAACAGAGTGAGACTCAGTCTCAAAAATCAATCAATCAATCAATCAATCAATCAATCAATAAAGATTAAGCCAGAATAGATACTGCAACTGAGGACAGAAAACTTGTGTTCCCAAAACGCATGCTGCCAATGGTGGACAGCACAGTAGGTCCATTCCTATTATTACCTCTAGAACCTGGAGGTAACCACTATTTGTCATCATCACTCATAGTAAGTATGGGTTCCTTCCTCAGTGGTTCAGGTCACAAACAAATGATGAGGTCAGCATGTCCGCCCTGGTTAGTTGGAGAAGCCTGGATCACGTAGCCTCCCTAACGTGCAAGAGAGCCTAAGAAAGGGAAACTTGAGCATTCTCAGTTTCTATAGGGGAAGGTGAAGCTCACTTCCTAAGATGCCATTCCTTAATCACAAAGGCAGTTCTAAAGCCGAGCAGCCAAAGAAATTGTAAAAAACCCTGTCTGTCTCAATATGGGTGAAAATGCAGAATTCATATTATATCAAATAAAGGATAAAGTAAGTTCAAAAAATATACTAGCTTGGGTTTAATCATAGATCAGACTTAATGCTTTTTGTTGTTGTTGTTATTTTGAGACAGAGTCTCGCTCTGTCACCAGGCTGGAGTGCAGTGGCACCATCTCGGCTCACTGCAACTTCCAACTCCCTGGTCGAGGCGATTCTCCTGCCTCAGCCTCTCAAGTAGCTGGGATTACAGGTGCATGCCACCACACACAGCTAATTTTTGTATTTTCAGTAGGGACGGGGTTTCGCCATGTTGACCAGGATGGTCTCGATCTCCTGACCTCAAGATCCGCCAGCCTCGGCCTCCCAAAGTGCTGGGATTATAGGCATGAGCCACCACACCTGGCCTTAATGCTTTCTTAAAAAGATCTTTTTATCAGTAAACTAGTCCTCATTCTCCTAAGAACCAAAATGCCTTTTTCCCTCTCTCTGTGTTATAAACATTTACAATCCTAATGTTTTCTGCTCTTAGATTGAAATTGTGTGGTGATGGGAGTGATGGCTGAGACTAACATTTAATGATTTCTGGGCTGTGTGTGGCAGTTAGGAGGCATTTATCAACTCTGGCATGCTCTGAAATTCTCAGAGGGAACTCTTAAGACCAATTCTATATGTGGAGTGTGGTTTCTGTATTCTCTCCCTTTGCTCTATATTCAAATTGTCTCTAGATTTCACTCAAAATACAAGCAAATCCTACCTGTGTCTACTAAAAAAAAAAATGCATGGAGCTTCTACTGAACACACTCAGCAATTGAATAAAGCCTTTACTTCTACAACTTTTTAAAGCAATCCTTTAAACTTTATCACTTGCCTTTTGTATTTCCCAGGGGCATCTTCTTTTTTTTTTTTTTTTTTTTTTTTTTTGAGACGGAGTCTCACTCTTTCGCCCAAGCTGGACTGCAGTGGCGCTATCCCGGCTCACTGCAAGCTCCGCCTCTTGGGTTCAAGGGGCATCTTCTTGAATGTTGTTCCAAAGAAATAATGTTTCTGGGTTGAACATGGTAAATGTGTAACTAGAATGGATGTGAAACCCTTAACAAAAAGGATTTCTCATGAGTGTTTCACAAGTAATATAATGAATTCTCGCTATAGTCTCCATAAAAAGGCAAGTTTCTTACGATGGTAAGGTATTTCAATTCACTTGGTGTTTGAACAATCAGGACAAGCACCATATTTAAATATGTTGATTATGTGTGTGTATAAATATTCATATTTGTACAGTTTATTAGTTATACCCTATGTCACTAAGCCCAAGGGTACAGTAAAATAATTTAAAATACACATTCCACATGTCAGTGTTTAAAACATTTAAAGTCGTTATAAAATATCTAGTAACTAGCAATGTTAATATAATTTTCTTTTGCAATAGTTGTGTGTATATTAATATTTATATAAAATATAAAAATTATTCTGTTAAATATATTCTTCTAAACATGATTTATAGTCCATACATCTCAAGACCGTGTTAAATGTCGAATAAGAGTAGATTAAACTCATTTCTAGTGAGTTAAAATTTAAAGTAAAGATGTGAAGATTCTTACATAACATCCTGGCCAGAAACAAAAATAAATCAGGGCGATCAAAGACTGAAGCCAGTATTTTCCTCAGGAGTATATGCCAATTTCTGGTGGCTTAGAACACATTTATGAAGCTGTATATGGGAGACAGGAGGCAGATCCAAGTCCCAGAGTAGGGTGAGAAATTTCACTGACAAAACCTTCCTTCAAGTAAGGACCTCTGATAGATGGCATATTTAGTGAATAAAATAGAAGAAATCCTGACTTCACACCCAAGCTGAACATTTAGTTTATGTCAATATTAGATTGGTTAGTGCCTCCTGGCTCCTAGAATAAAAAAATAATAAACGAAGGAGAGTGTGTACATGAGAGGAGGACAGAGAGAGAAAGAGGAGACCCATTCAGAGGAAGCACACTTAACATTCATTTTTGACTAACAATGTTAAAGGAAAAAAAAGTGTCATATATCAAATCTCTAAATATAAATGGAAAGAGGCCATAATTACTTTAAGATATCAGGAAAGGAATAACAGAAACACAATGACTATAAATGTTAGAAGCATCAATGCAGTGTATAAATTAAGTATATTTGATACCTAAAGAAATAAAACTGACTAAAATATGATAAAGAAAAAAGAGAGTATAATGTGTGAAAATAAATTTAAATATGAGTCAAACACAAATTCTAGAAATGAAAATTACAATGAAAATGAAATGGCAGTACACCAGAATAAACACAGCTGAAGAGAACATTGGTGACAGATACAAAAAATGATATGGATAGTGTTAGGAAATTACTCACCTGGAAGAGAGGGAGTACATATTAAAGAAAAATAGAGATATGTAGGATAGTTTGAGAAGGTCAGCACATGTTCTATCAGAACTTCAGGAAGAAATATAGAATTGCAAAGAGAACAAATTAGAAAATGTGGTTCAAACTTTACAGATTTGTTGAAAAATATCAATGTGCACATTAAAAAACCCAGTGAGCCTCCGCCAGAATGTATTAAATATTCATGTAGACATGTCTCACTGAAATTACAGAACATTGAAGACAACACAAAATAATAAAAGCTGCCAAAGAGAAAATCAGATTGCCTAAAAAGTAAGCCAAAATTAAACTAATGGTTGAGTTCTCAGCACCAACAATAGAAGGCAAAGACAGATGGCTGACACCCTCAAAGTGCTGAAAGAGCATACTGTCAGTCTCAAATTTTGTGTCCAGTAAATCTATTTTCAAAGGAAAATATAAAATTGATACATTTTCAGTCAAGCAAAATTGAAATTGTTTATTCTTCACCTGCTCTCAGCTAGAGAAACTCTTTAGGGGAAGAAGGAATATTGTCACAGAACAAGGGTATGAAAGTGTGACTAGAATAAGAGGAAGGAAAATGATAAATATATGAGTAAATCTGAACAAATAAATACTGACATAAACAATAATATTTAATATGAAGGTTAAACTATGATGTAAGTAAAATATGGACAGCAATATCATTAAGCATGGGCAGTTACTGTAAGTAAAACATTGAGAGTTCTTACAGAGTTTAAAAGAAGGATGAATAAATGGATTAATTTTAGAATTTAATAAGTAAAATAGAATGGAAAAATGATTAGATTATCTACTAAAGGAATTGACAGCGGGGTGAATATCTTCTGAATAAATAGAGGGAAAAAATGAAGAGGAAAAAGCTCTAATTATTTCAAAAGTTATAAAGAAAGAGAAAATATGAAAACCAAGATATAAACAAAATATAAATAAGATAGTTCCTCCCAATGGCCCAGTAATCTCAGTGTGTTGCAATAGACTCTTCATTAAAAAATAGATGAGAAAGAAACAGAGTGGTTTACAAAGATCCACTATATTCTGGTTAGAAAAGAACTGCCTCAAACAAGAAAAAAAATGTAAAGAAGGATCGGAAAACATGCACTAAGTAAATATCAATCAGAAAGGAAATCGGAAATAGAACTAGGTGTCTGCATGGAAGGCAGCAGCAATGATGAGAGATTGATTACTTACAGAAGAGGTTGATCCAAGAAGCAAATACGTTGGGAATGACTGAAGCCAGGTTTATTGTTTTTAGAAATAAACGTTACAGATATGGAGGGGAAGAAAACTAGAATGAGCTTTTATTATTAGATTGGATATGGAAATATATTGAAGTTTTGGTTTTAGTTATATACGTGTACAATTACTGTCTCTTTCTCTCCTCTCTTTCTCCCCATCACACCACACACACACACACACACACACCCTAGCTTTAGTTATGTCCACAGAAAGGGCCTGGGAACAACAATACTTTAGTATCTGTGAGCACTCCCAGCAACCCCTTCTGTGTTTTCCAAAACCCTTCTCAACAAAAGGTTACCAGGATCCTAGAAATGCAAATTTCAGGACTAGGGGATGGGGAAATACAAAGTGAGCCGGAAGTATTCTGTTGTGGAAGCAAGCAAGGAAGTAGGCAAAAAATAATGGGGCATCTCTAAAGCCCCATTGAAGCCTAATTTAATAGTATTCCCAGTGGCAAGCTCTGGCACAATTTGAGCATCAAAATGAATAATAATGGTAACAGTTTACAATCCATTATTATCCATATTGACAAAAGTAAACAAATGAATAAATGAATGCAAAAAAGATAAACGTTTTCCCTAGAGTAGAATACCAAGCAATAAATACAATAAGAATGATAAAATTAGAAAAAGTACCACTTAGCAAATATCATAGCAATAATGATTTCAGCTAAGGAAACCTGAGGGATGCTAAAACTAGTGAGTGAATATTTGAGGTGTATATCAGTGTCAGCCAGAATTCTGCAGAAAAATAGAACCAACAGAATCCTACTGGGTGTGTGTGTGTGTGTGTGTATGTGTGTGTGTTGGCTTACACGATTATGAGGACCAGCAAATCTGAAATCTGCAGTTTAGGGTCATAGCTTGGAAAGTTTGTAGGCAGAATTTCTTCTCAGATAAACCTCAGATTTTGCTCTCAGGGCCTCCAACTGACTGGTTGAGGCCCAGCAACCTTATTGAGAATTACTTCCTCTACTAAAATGAACTGATTATAGATGTCATCATGTCTACAGTGTAGGAAAACAGTAGAGAAAATAAACACAACCAAATATTTTAACTATCAAGCAAATTGACAAGTTTTTAGCAACTGTGACCAAGAAAAAAGAAAAGACTCAAATTACTAAAATCAGGAATGAAAAATGAAAATTACTCTTGTCCATATAGAAATGAAAAAAATCATCAAGGAATACTCTAAATACATGTATATCAACAAATCACACAACACAGATAAGGATGATATAAACTACCAAAATTGAAGAAGAAATAGAAAACCTGAATATATCCATACATAGAGAGAGATTAAGAATATTTTATTGAATACTTAATCTACATTACACGAATATATTCCATATAAAGACAGAAATTAAAGAATATCTAAATATATGCAAAGGCTCCTTGTTTGACGATCAGAAGACTTAACATTGTTAAGAAGTCAATACACTCCAAGTTGATCTACAGATTCAATGCAATCCCTTGTAAAGTGAGTTGGAACAATTTGTGGCACCAGAAAGAGAGGAAGTGCTAATTTATATGGATATATTCCATATAAATATAGAGATTAAGTATTCAATAAAACTTCCCACAAATAAAAACCCAAGGCCACATGATTTTACTGTGAGTTATATCACTTACTTGAAGAAGGATTAACATCAATCTAAGAGTAAAGAATACTTTTTGACTCATTCTTTGAGACCAGTATTACTTGATAACAAAACATCACAAGAAAAGAAAATTATAGACCATTATTATTTATAAACATAAATACAGAAATCTTCATCAAATTACTAGAAAACTGAATTCAGCCGCTTACCAAAAAAATTACACAGCATGACCAAGTGGGATTTATGGAAAATTGAAAGAGCAATTCAACATACAAAAATCAATCTATGTAATACATCAGATTAATGGAATAAAAAATAAAATAATCTCAATGGACACATAAAAATTTAACAAAACCTAACATTCTTTTTGTCAGGCCTCCGAGCCCAAGCTAAGCCATCATATCCCCTGTGACCTGCATGTACACATCCAGATGGCCGCTTCCTGCCTTAATTGATGACATTGTCTTGTGAAATTCCTTCTCCTGGCTCATCCTGGCTCAAAAGCTCCCCTATTGAGTACCTTGTGACCCCCACTCCTGCCCGCCAGAGAACAAACCCCCTTTGACTGTAATTTTCCTTTACCTACCCAAATCTTATAAAATGGCCCCACCCCTATCTCCCTTTGCTGACTCTCTTTTTGGACTCAGCCCACCTGCCCCCAGGTGAAATAAACAGCTTTATTGCTCACACAAAGCCTGTTTGGTGGTCTCTTCACAGGGACACGCATGAAATTTGATGCCGTGACTCGGATCGGGGGACCTCCCTTGGGAGATAAATCCCCTGTTCTCCTGCTCTTTGCTCCATGAGAAAGATCCACCTATGACCTCAGGTCCTCAGACTGACCAGCCCAGGAAACATCTCACCAATTTCCAATCCAGTAAGCGGCCTCTTTTTACTCTCTTCTCCAACCTCCCTCACTATCCCTCAACCTCTTTCTCCTTTCAATCTTAGCGCCACACTTCAATCTCTCCCTTATTTAATTTCAATTCCTTTCTTTTTCTGGTAGAGACAAAGGAGACACGTTTTATCTGTGGACCCAAAATTCCAGCGCCAGTCATGGCCTAGGAAAGGCAGCCTTCCCTTGGTGTTTAATCGTTGCACGGGCGCCTCTCTGATTAGTCACCCAGGTTTCAGAGGTGTCAGACCATGCAGGGACGCCTGCCTTGGTCCTTCACCCTTAGCGGCAAGTCCCACTTTTCTGGGAAAGGGCCAAGTACCCCAACCCCTTCTCTCCGTGTCTCTACCCCTTCTCCGCCTTTCTGGGGGACAAGAAACCCCCAACCCCTTCTCCTTCACCCTTAGCGGCAAGTCCCGCTTTTCTGGGGAAGGGGCAAGTACCCCAACCCCTTCTCTCCATGTCTCTACCCCTTCTCCACCTTTCTGGAGGACAAGAAACCCCCAACCCCTTCTCCTTCATCCTTAGTGGCAAGTCCTGCTTTTCTGGGGGAGAGGCAAGTACCCTAACCTCGTATCTCTGTACCCCAATCCCTTATTTCCAAGCCCCGACCTCTTATCTCTGTGCCCCAATCCCTTATTTCTGCGCCCCAACCTCTTATATCTCTGTGCCCCGATCCCTTATTGCCGCACCCCAACCTCTTATATCTCTGCATCCCAATCCCTTATTTCCACGCCCCAACCTCGTATCTCTGTGCCCCGACCCCTTTCCCGCTTTTCTGGAGGGTAAGAACCCCCAAATCCCTTCCCTCCATGTCTCTACTCTCTCTTTTCTCTGGGCTTGCCTCCTTCACTATGGGCAACCTTCCACCCTCCATTCCTCCTTCTTCTCCTTTAGCCTGTGTTCTTAAGAACTTAAAACCTCTTCAACTCTCACCTGACCTAAAATCTAAGCGTCTTATTTTCTTCTGCAATGCCGCTTGACCCCAATATAAACTCGACAGTAGTTCCAAATAGACAGAAAATGGCACTTTCAATTTTTCCATCCTGCAAGATCTAAATAATTCTTGTGGTAAAATAGGCAAATGGTCTGAGGTGCCTGATGTGCAGGCATTCTTTTACACATCGGTCCCTTCCTAGTCTCTGTGCCCAGTGCAACTCGTCCCAAATCTTCCTTCTTTCCCTCCCACCTGTCCCCTCAGTCCCAACCCCAAGCATCGCTGAGTCTTTCTAATCTTCCTTTTCTACAGACCCATCTGACCTCTCCCCTCCTCCCCAGGCTGCTCCTCGCCTGGCCGAGCTAGGTCCCAGTTCTTCCTCAGCCTCCGCTCTTCCACCCTATAATCCTTTTATCACCTCCCCTCCTCACACCCGGTCCAGCTTACAGTTTCATTCACTGACTAGCCCTCCCCCACCTGCCCAGCAATTTCCTCTTAAACAGGTGGCTGGAGCTAAAGGCATAGTCAAGGTTAATGTTCCTTTTTCTTTATCCCAAATCAGATAGCGTTTAGGCTCTTTTTCATCAAATATAAAAATCCAGCCCAGTTTATGACTCCTCTGGCAGCAACCCTGAGACACTTTACAGCCCTAGACCCTAAAAGGTCAAAAGGCCGTCTTATTCTCAAAATACATTTTATTACCCAATCTGCTCCCGACATTAAATAAAACTCCAAAAATTAAATTCCGGCCCTCAAACCCCACAACAGGATTTAATTAACCTCGCCTTCAAGGTGTACAATAATAGAAAAAAGTTAAAATTCCTTACCTCCACTGGGAGACAAACCCCAGCCACATCTCCAGCACACAAGAACTTCCAAACGCCTGAACCGCAGCGGCCAGGCGTTCCTCCAGAACCTCCTCCTCCAGGAGCTTGCTACAGGTGCCAGAAATCTGGCCACCAGGCCAAGGAATGCCTGCAGCCCAGGATTCCTCCTAAGCCGCGTCCCATCTGTGCAGGAACCCACTGGAAATCAGACTGTCCAACTCACCTGGCAGCCACTCCCAGAGCCCCTGGAACTCTGGCCCAAGGCTCTCTGACTGACTCCTTCCCAGATCTTCTCGGCTTAGCGGCTGAAGACTGACACTGCCCGATTGCCTCAGAAGCCTACAGGACCATCACAGACGCTCTAGGTAACTCACAGTGGAGGGTAAGTCTGTCCCCTTCTTAATCAATATGGAGGCTACCCACTCCACATTACCTTCTTTTCAAGGGCCTGTTTCCCTTGCCTCCATAACTGTTGTGGGTATTGACAGCCAGGCTTCTAAACCTCTTAAAACTCCCCAACTCTGGTGCCAACTTAGACAATACTCTTTTATGCACTCTTTTTTAGTTATCCCCACCTGCCCAGTTCCCTTATTAGGCCGAGATATTTTAACCAAATTATCTGCTTCCCTGACTATTCCTGGACTACAGCCACATCTCATTGCTGCCCTTCTCCCCAACCCAAAGCCTCCTTTGCGTCTTCCTCTCATATCCCCCCACCTTAACCCACAAGTATGGGACATCTCTACTCCTACCCTGGCAACTGATCACATGCCCATTACCATCCCATTAAAACCTAATCACCGTTACCCTGCTCAACGCCAATATCCCATCCCACAACACGCTTTAAAAGGATTAAAGCCTGTTATCACTCGCCTGCTACAGCATGGGCTTTTAAAGCCTATAAACTCTCCTTACAATTCCCCCATTTTACCCGTCCTAAAACCAGACAAGACTTACAGGTTAGTTCAGCATCTGCACCTTATCAACCAAATTGTTTTGCCTATCCACCCCGTGGTGCCAAACCCATATACTCTCCTATCCTCAATACCTCCCTCTACAACCCATTATTCTGTTCTGGATCTCAAACATGCTTTCTTTACTATTCCTTTGCACCCTTCATCCCAGACTCTCTTCGCTTTCACTTAGGCTGACCCTCACACCCATTAGGCTCAGCAAATTACCTGGGCTGTACTGCTGCAAGGCTTCGCAGACAGACCCCATTACTTCAGTCAAGCCCAAATTTCATCCTCATCTGTTACCTATCTCAGCATAATTCTCATAAAAACACACGTGCTCTCCCTGCTGATCGTGTCCCATTAATCTCCCAAACCTCAATCCCTTACAAAACAACAACTGCTTTCCTTCCTAGGCATAGTTAGTGCGGTCAGAATTCTTACACAACAGCCAGGACCGCACCCTGTAGCCTTTCTGTCCAAACAACTTGACCTTACTGTTTTAGCCTAGCCCTCATGTCTGCGTGCAGCGGCTGCCACTGCTTTAATACTTTTAGAGGCCCTAAAAATCACAAACTATGCTCAACTCACTCCCTACAGCTCTCATAATTTCCAAAATCTATTTTCTTCCTCACACCTGACGCATGTACTTTCTGCTCCCCGGCTCCTTCAGCTGTACTCACTCTTTATTAAGTCCCACAATTACCCTTGTTCCTGGCCCGGACTTCAATCCCGCCTCCCACATTATTCCAGATACCACACCCGACCCTCATGACTGCATCTCTCTGATCCACCTGATGTTCATCCCATTTCCCCACATTTCCTTCTTCGCTGTTTCTCACCCTGATCACACTTGATTTATTGATGGCAGTTCCACCATGCCTAATCGCCACACACCAGCAAAGGCAGGCTATGCTATAGTACAAGCCACTAGCCCGCCTCTTAGAACCTCTCATTTCCTTTCCATCGTGGAAATCTATCCTCAAAGAAGTAACTTCTCAGTGTTCCATCTGCTACTCTACTACTCCTCAGGGATTATTCAGGGCCCCTCCCTTCCCTACACATCAAGCTCAAGGATTTGCCCCCACCCAGGACTGGCAAATTAGCTTTACTCAACATGCCCCTAGTCAGATAACTAAAATACCTCTTAGTCTAGGTAGACACTTTCACTAGATAGGTACAGGCCTTTCCTACAGGGTCTGAGAAGGCCACCACAGTCATTTCTTCCATTCTGTCAGACATAATTCCTCAGTTTAGCCTTGTCATTTCTTCCCTTCTGTGGACATAATTCCTCAGTTTAGCCTCCCCACCTCTATACAGTCTGATAACCAGCCTTTATTAGTCAAATCAGGCAAGCAGTTTTTCAGGCTCTTAGTATTCAGTGAAACCTTTATATCCCTTACAGTCCTATGTCTTCAGGAAAAGTAGAACAGACTAAAGGTCTTTTAAAAACACACCTCACCAAGCTCAGCCACCAACTTAAAAAGGACTGGACAACACTTTTACCACTTTCCCTTCTCAGAAGTCAGACCTGTCCTCAGAATGCTACAAAGTACAGCCCATTTAAGCTCCTGTATAGATGCTCCTTTTTATTAGGCCCCAGTCTCATTCCAGACACCAGACCAACTTAGACTGTGCCCCAGAAAAACTTGTCATCCCTACTGTCTTCTGTCTAGTCATACTTCTATTCACCATTCTCAACTACTCATACATGCCCTGCTCTTGTTTACACTGCCGGTTTACACTGTTTCTCCAAGCCATCACAGCTGATATCTCCTGGTGCTATCTCCAAACTGCCACTCTTAACTCTTGAAGTAAATAAATAATCTTTGCTGGCAAGACTATGCTGAATCTCCTTAGGCACTCTCTAATCAGATGTCCTGTGTCGTCCCAATTCTTAGACCTTTTATACCTGTTTTTCTCCTTCTCTTATTCCATTTAGTTTTTCAATTCATACAAAACTGTATCCAGGCCATCACCAATAATTCTAAATGACAAATGTTTCTTCTAACAACCCCACAATGTCACCCCTTACCACAAAATCTTCCTTCAGCTTAATCTCTCCCACTCTAGGTTCCCACGCCACCCCTAATCCCGCTCGAAGCAGCCCTGAGAAACGTCGCCCATTATCTCTCCACACCATCCCCCAAAATTTTCACCGTCCCAACACTTTACCACTATTTTGTTTTATTTTTCTTATTAATATAAGAAGACAGGAATGTCAGGCCTCTGAGCCCAAGCTAAGCCATCATATCCCCTGTGACCTGCATGTACACATCCAGATGGCCGCTTCCTGCCTTAATTGATGGCATTCCACCACAAAAGAAGTGAAAATGGCCTGTTCCTGCCTTAACTGATGATATTATCTTGTGAAATTCCTTCTCCTGGCTCATCCCGGCTCAAAAGCTCCCCCACTGAGTACACTGTGACCCCCACTCCTGCACACCAGAAAACAAACCCCCTTTGACTGTAATTTTCCTTTACCTACCCAAATCTTATAAAACGGCCCCACCCCTATCTCCCTTTGCTGCCTCTTTTCGGACTCAGCCCACCTGCCCCCAGGTGAAATAAACAGCTTTATTGCTCACACAAAGCCTGTTTGGTGGTCTCTTCACACAGACGCGCATGAAATTTTTATGATTGAAATGATCAAAAACTTTCTCAACCTGATAAAAAGAATCTACCGAAAAAGCCAAACCTATAGATAATATCACACTTAATGGGAAAATTCTAAGACTTTCTTTTATAACGAGAAACCAGACAAGGATGTCTATTCTTACCACCACCTTTCAGAATTATACTTGAGGCTTTATCCAGGGTAACCAGGCAAGACAACCAAAAGATAATCAGGTTAAAAAGGAAGAAGTAAAATTATCTCTCCAGAAGATATAATCTCATAAATAGAAAACCCTAAAGAATACACAAAGAAACCACTTAGAGCTAATAAAGTATTTCAGCAAAGTTATTGTATACAAGATCCAAATACAAAGATCAGTTGTATTTCTATACACTAACAATGAACTTCTCAAACATGAGATTAAGAAAACAATTTCACTCACAAAGCATCAAAAACAAGAAATACTTAAGATTATACTTAACCAAAGAACTGCAAGACTTGTACATGAAGACTATAAAACATTGTTGATAGAAAGTAAAGAAGATCCAAACATAAGGACAGTTTCCTTGTTTGTCTATCAGAAGACTTAATATTGTTCAGAAGGCAGTACACTCCAAGTTGATCTACAGATTCAACGCAATCCCTTGTAAAATGACCTGGAGCAATTTGTGGCACCAGAAAGTGAGGAAGTGCTAAAAAATAAATCCCAAAATAATGGGAATATGCCAAAAGACACAAAAGTCAACTGAAAGGTTTCCTAAAGCCTAAGCTGGATTAATTAAGCAACAAGATTAAGTAGTATTGGATTATAACCCAAATGATAAAATAAATATTCAGCGTTCATAATGTGAACAGATTAATGGTTTCCACAGGTTTTGTTTGGAGAGGAGCAGAAACGGAATTGCCTCTGGCTATAAAAGAATAGCATAAGAAATTCTTCTGATGAAACTGTTTTGTATTTTAACTGTGGTGGTTGTCACATGAATCTGTATATGAGATTAAATTGCATAGACTATACATACATATATATGAATGAATGTAAAACTGATGAAATCTGAATGAGATTAATATATTGTTTCAATATGAAATCCTTGGTGTTGATATTGTACTATATACACGTAAGATCTTACAACCATTGGAAAAATAAACTAAAGGTTTGTAGATTTTTTATATTATATGATTTCTTACAACTTCATGTAAATTTAGTTATCTCAAAACGCAAAATTTGAAGAAGTCAATAAATAAGTTGAGCAACAGATTGAACATTGTACAAAGAGAATTAAGCTTGAAAGAAAATCAATAGAAAATACAGAAATAAAAACACATACGAAAGAGTATATTTAAAAATTAAAATAAATCATAAAATAAATATAGGATTCATTCAATAGCTTTAATATATGTGTCAGGAAATCTCAGGAAGAGAAGAATAGAGAAATGGGTTAAAATTAATGTTTAAAAAGTTAGTGATAAAGAATTTTCACAATATGATAACATAAATCAGCTCTTTCCTATGTCAAGTAAAACTATCCCGAATACAATGAACATAAAGAAAACTATATGTAGGAAAAATCATAATATAGCTGATAAAAATAATAACAGTAAGAGAAAGAAGACACTATCATCAATGAATACATTAGGACTTAGAAGAAAATTTGATAGACATAATGGAAGGCCTGAACCAATGGAACATCTTTCAAACAGCTAAAGTAGAATTCCGTATCTGGGGATTATATTCTTTAAAAATGAAAGTAAAATTTAAATAAAAATAAAATCTGGAGGTATTTATTCTTAACAATTCTTCACTAAAAAACAACAATAATGTTAAAAAATGTTCTTCAGTAAGAAAGAAAATTATTCCATGTTGGAAAAAAGCAATTCCAGGAGGAAATAAAGATCAAAGAAAATAGGAACGATGTGAGTAAACACAGCAAATAATGACTGTTCGAAGACAATAATTGTATTGTCATTTGGAATTTAAATTATATTTAGAAATAAAATTCATGATAACAATAAACACACACAAAAGTTAAAGAAAAAAATGTGATTAGGCCGGGCATGATGCCCCATGCCTGTAATCCCAACACATTGGGAAGCCAAGGCAGGAGAATCATTTGAGACCCGGAGTTTAAGTCCAGCTTGGGCAACATAGCAAGACTCAGAGCAACATAGCAAGACTCTACAAAATTTTTCTAAAAATATAAGCTGGATGTTGTGTCACACACCTGTAGTTCCAGCTACTTCAGATGCTGAGGCAGGAGGATATCTTAACCCCAGGAGGCTGCAGTGAGCTATAATGGCACCATTGCACTCCAGCCTGAGTGACACGGTGGGACATTGTTTCCCCGACCTCTGCAATCCTCCCCACCCCGCCCAAAAAAAATGGAACTCAAATATTCTATGGTTATAGCAGTGTCAAGAATTGGCAAAATAGTAAGTTAATTATGCAATAACTGCTAAAATAGTAATAATATAATATGATTACAAGGAAATAGAAGTAAAAAAATAAAATACTGAAATCAATAACAGAAAAACATCTGGAAAATTTTGAACTATTTAGAAACTAAAAAACACACATTATAAATAGCAAATGGGTCAAACAGAAATGATAAATTTAGAAAATATTTTGATTGAATTAAAATAAAAATACATCATGAAATGGATGAGATTCTGCCAAAGCAGTGCTGAGAGGGAAATCTATAGTATTAAATTTTCATGTTTAAAAAGAAGAAATATTACAAATCTTTGATTCATACTTTAAAAAAAAAGAGAACAAAAACCCTAAACAAGCAACAGAAAAGCAGAAATCAATCAAATTATGAACAGAAAAATAGAGAAAATTAATAAAACCAAATGCTCTTTTTTCTAAAGGTTTACTCAAATGGATAACCTTTTGCTAGATTGATGAAGGAAAAAAAGACTAAAATTACCAATCTGAGGATTAAAGGAAGAGAGTAGCACTATAAGATCTACAGATATTAAATGTGTAGTAGTGAATATTATGAACAGTTATAGTCCTACAATTTCACAATGAGGATGAAATGGAAAAATTATCACAAAGATATAAACTGGCAAACCTAACTCAAGAAAAGTAGATAAACTGAATACCCCATATCTCTTAATTTATAGGTAAATATCTGCAGCCACAACAAAAACAATTCAGAGTGGCTCATGCCTGTAATCCTAGTACTTTGGGAGGCCCAGGCTGGTGAATTGCTTGAGGTCAGGAGTTCAAGACCAACCTGGCCAACATGACAAAACCACATTCCTACTAAATATATATATATATATATATATATATATATATATATATATATATATATATATAATAGCAGAGCATGGTGGCATGTGCCTGTAACCCCAGCTACTTGGGAGGCTGAGGCATGAGAATCACTTGAACCTGGGAGGCAGAGGTTGCAGTGAGCTGGGACCGTGCCACTGCACTCCAGCCTGGGTGACAGAGCCAGACCCTATCTCAAAAAAAAAAAAAAAGAAGTCTAGGCACAGATGATTTCATTATTGAATGCTAAAACAAATTTATATATGGCTACATATTCAATAAAATGCTAGCTCCTCTAAAATACTATCTAATCATATTAGTACATGCCATTACTACAAGAAGAGAAAATTGAGAGTAAAAGAGAAAACAGAATTTAAATAAGTAATAAAAGAGAAATAATGCTTCATAGCTTTAGAAGTGACAAAACTAAAGCTTAGATGCACTGATTCAACCTTGGTAATCCTTCCTTTTTCATTTCTGTTTTATTTATTTTTATCTTTTCTCTTTTTCTTGATCTAGCTAATGCTTTGGTGATTTTTAACTTATAAAATGCAAACCTTCTGTTTTGTTGATCTTTTGTTCTTTTGTATTGTTTTTCTCATCTCTGTTTTGTTTTGTTCTGCTCTGATCGTTACTATTTGTTTCCTTTTATTAATTTTTGGGTTTGGTTTGTTCTTGATTTTCTAGTTTTTTATGTGCATTATTAGGTTATTTCAAATTTTCTAGTTTTTTATATAGGGGATTATTGCTATAAACTTTACTCCTAGTACTGATTTTGCTATATCTCTTTTGGTATGTTGTGTTCCCATTTTCATTTGTTTCAAGAAATTTTTTGATTCCCTTCTCAATTATTTTTTATGAACCCATTGATTGTTCAGAAGCATGTTGTTTAATTCCCACATATGTGTACAGTTTCTAGAGCTCTTTTTGTTATTGATTTCTGATTTCATTCCCTTGTGGCCTAAAAAGGTATTTGATAAGATTTTGATTTTTTTATATGTGTTGAGATTTGTTTTGTATCCTAAAATATTATTTATCCTGGACAATTTTCCATGTGCTGATGAGAAGAATGTGCACTCTTCAGCTATTGGATGAAATGTTCTGTAAATGTTTGTTAGGTCCATTTAGTCTATAGTGCAGTTTAAGTCTTATATTTCTTTATGAATTTTCTATCTAGATGATCTGTTCAATGCTGAAAGTGGGGTGCTAAAGTGTCCAGCTATCATTGTATTATGGTTTATCTCTCTCTTTAGCTCTAATAATATTTGCTGTATATATCTTAGTGCTCTGTGGTTGAGTGCATACATATTTACAATTCTTATATTCTTGCTGAATTAATCCCTTTATTAGTATAAAATAATTGTCTTTGTCTCTATTTTTTTACTTAAAATCTATTTTGTCTAATATAAGGATAGCTACTTCTGCACTCTTTTGTTTTCCATTTGCATGGAATATCTTTTTCCGTACCTTCACTTTCACCTTGTGTGTCTTCACAGGTAAGATAAGTTTTTTGTAGGCAGCATATAGTTGGGTCTTGTTTTGTCAGCTGTTCAGCCAGTCTATATCTTTTAATTAGGGAATTTAAACCATTTACGTTCAAGGTTGTTATTGATAGGTGAGGACTTAATCCTGTCATTTTGTTAGTTTCCAATTTCTTTCTGTATATTCTTCATTCTTATCTTCCTTTCTTATTATTTATCTTTGCTATATGGTGGCTTTCTGCAGTAATAACTTATTCCTTTCTCTTTCTCATTTTTATATTTGCTCTAGCAGTGAGTTGTATACTTTTGTGTGTTTTCGTGTCATAGATTGTGTACTTTGGCACCCAAATGTACTACTTCCTTTAGCATATCTTGTAGGACTGGTCTCATGGTGACAGTTCCCCCAGATTTTGCTTGCCTGAGAAAGACTTTATTTCTTTTCATTTCCAAAGGATGGCTTTGTTGTATATAGTATTCTTGATTGGCAGTTTTTTCATTCAAGCCCCTACCATTTCTGAGATCCACAAAGTTCATATATAATATATATATTTGTAATCTTTTAATAAAGATTACATATATATATATATAATTATTACAAGATTACAAATCAAGCCACCAGAATGTTACATAAAATATTCTCTATCCTGCTATCTTAATAAATATATCTTCCTAACAACCTGAAGTCTAGAGTAAAATTGAGAGTCCTCAGAGATTTTCCCCAAGTTAGTGGTTTAACCCCAACTCATCTTATTTCCAACTTTCAGCTGCACCATAAGGAGCATTGCGTGCATGCACATGGAAACGCCCACCTGTACAACCAAGCTGAACCCACTGAAGAGTCAAGCACCCATAGAACTGAGGTGAAAAACATGCATAATATGGACCACCCTTAGGAGAAGGAAAAAGCCCATACT
Source organism: Homo sapiens (assembly GCF_000001405.40). NCBI lineage: Eukaryota > Metazoa > Chordata > Mammalia > Primates > Hominidae > Homo > Homo sapiens. The sequence goes on along the minus strand of NC_000006.12, from coordinate 164,646,481 downwards.
GGCCAAAGAATTAGGCTGTGGTCCTTTGGGCAGGGAACACTGTGGTCCTGGGTACCTGGAACATGGACTACAGTGTAATGACCCTAAAAAAAAATTCTCTTGCTACCCAAGACTTATGGACAGTGGACAGAGCTGTGGTCACCGAAGGACAATAGTGGAGCCCTCAGAAGAAAAGTTTCCTCTTCTTTGTCCCTAATGATGGTGCAATTTTCACCAATTGCTTATATGATATTCAGCAAATCTTGTTATTCTCATCTGCGGGATAGATATAATATTTACTCAATGATTTATTATGAGAATTAAAGAAAATAAGATAATTTTTAGAAAACAGCATACTACATTGTCTAATGCATGCAGTAATAGGAGTTACAGTTCTCTCTTCCTCTTTTCAACACTACCTTAATTTCTTCTGGAATCTTAGATTACTCATTTGATATATTGCTTCTGTTATTCTATATAATAAGACTAATCTCAGTACCTAATCCTCAAGGTTTGCATAATGAATATATGACATAATATGTAAAAATTAAGTAATAAGAGGTCAAGTGGTATAAAAAATAGTCAATACATGATGTACTAAATCAAAAGAGAAAATCTCAACTTGGAAAAACTTAAGTGGAATTTATAAATGTCTCAGACTATTTGGGCTGCTGTAACAAAATGCCTAAACTGAGTAGCTTATGAATACAGAAATTTATTGCTCATAGATTTGGAATCTGTGAAGTCCAAGATCAAGGCACTGACAACCTCTATGTCTGGAAGAACCTACTTTTGGGTTCATAGATGGTGTGTTCTTGCTGTGTCCTCACATGGTGGAAGGGCCAAGGCAGCTCTCTAGGACCTTTTAAAAATAAGGGCACTAATCCCATTCATGATGCTTTCACCCTCACAACCTAATCATCTCCCAGTGACCCCACCTCCCAATATCATCACACTGGTGATTAGGTTTCAGCATATAAATTTTAGAGGGACACAAATGTTCAAAACATAAGAATAACCATTTAGGAGTGTTTAGTAGGACCATTTCGATACTTTTCGTATTAAATTCTCTTGTATTAGTTTATCTAGAAATTCATGTTTTTCCTAGTTTTAGCCACTCTTGATTATATACAAATGCAATTAGGAAAATTCACCAAAAATTTGTCATGTAATATCAAAAAATACGTACCAGGGAGGTTTCTGCTGGTGCCAATCCTCAAATGTTCTGCTTTTCTCTTGACCTGCATAAGCAGATTGCATCTTGCGTGCAAGGTGGCCTGGACATGTAACTAGAGAAAGACCTATTTGCATTTATTCTGAAAGCTATCTGAATCATGATAAAATAGGGGTAATGCTGGAATTTTGATGTTTAGTAGGAATCATCAAAAGAGTAAAATATTCTCCTCAAGTGGGTCCTGAATACTCTCACTTATGCATCTACTTACATGCATGCCAAAAAATGCAAAACCCTCTCGTTTATATTTTTTACATCAGCTTTATTTAACCACTACTACTGCTAGCATGCTCACCACACACCTTCAATATCAATGAAACTATACATTTATTTGTAAGCAACAGATTATCCAGACTAATCTAGAAAGTTTAGTGAAACTTGATTCATGAAAATCTCTCTGATACTGATGTTCTAACTGACACTTGGCCTATAATAATATAAAGTTAACAAACTCACATTGTTTATTTGAGAAGGGATCATGCTAGCTTTTGAAAAGTCAATAAACGTGATATGTAATTCATAGAGTTGTAGCAACAAGGTTTAATGAAGAGCATTGAAGTACAGATGGGAAAGAGAAAAAAATTGTTAAGGTTTTCACTTTGTCTCCAGCCCAGTTTTCCCAAAGCAATAAACTAATACATGTTTTCCCAGGTTCCTTTTTAATGAGAAAAGCTTACTGTCTTTACCCAATGTTCCTGTATCATGTGAACATACTCTAAAATAATAAAGGCATATGGCTTTGCATTACTTATTTTTTTAAAATATGCATAATGTGTAATACATTATTTTGTTTATGTAAAGATAAATTTCACTGAGAAATAATTCAGTTTATGATTAGTTTTTGAAAAGAATAACCACTTAAAATTACAACTTAATGATAAATGTAACAGTCAAACCTACAGTGCTCTGTGTGAAAAAGCCTTTTATCTTTCTATTTATTCTTATAAAAGACATAAAGAGGAAAATGGTAAAAGCATGACAAGAAGCCCATTATTTCTACAAAGTTCAAGTTAAAAATAAACTAAAAATATAGCTCAACTTAAAAAAGCAACAACTGAAGTGTGAGTATAGAAGTATATGATTACTTAGCTATGGTTTTTACTCCATACTATATTAACAGAAATTTAAAAATATTCCTCAGATATGGTTAGGCTAATGTATTATCCATTATTTTATAAGCATTTTATTACATATACATTCATATTTGTTGTGGGAACTTCATCCAGAAGAAACTGTAAAAATATATTTTAAAGTGCTTAAAGAAAGAGAAAATAGTATGGGAATCTACATCTTTGAAAAAAGAAAGTTAAAGAAAGACAATTTCAGGTAACTGAACATTGAGGAGATGTGTCCCCAAATGGACTGCATACAAGAAATACTGAAAGAAGTTATTCAGGGAGAGGGAAAATTATACCAGATAAAAACCCAGAACTGCAGGCAAAATAAAATGAAAATAGTAACGTATGATATGGCTTATGATGTTTGTAGAAGTAAAATATACATCTGGTATATTTTATCTGGTAAAATATACCAGATAAAAGCCCAAATTATCTGGTGAAAGGAAGTTAAAGATAAGTAACTATTAGAATGATCAACTATAATCAGTTAAATATGTGTATTGTAATCTTTAAGACAACTATTAAAAATATAACACAAAGAGGTGAAACTAAAGCAAATAGAGAATATTAGAAATGATATCAGAACAATTCTCAATTTATCTAAAGAGAATGGGTAATATAACCAATAATTGCATTAAACATAAATGGACTAAATAGCCTGAATAAAACGCATATTTTTTTTAGCCTGGGTGAAAATGGAGAAAAAAATTAAAACAAACAAAACCAACCAAACACAAATGTGTCATTTATCAGATGCATTCTTCAAATATAAGACATTAGAAGGTTTAAAGTAAAAGGGTGAAAAATCATATGATATGAAAGTATTAAGCCTAAGAAAATTGGGGCAGCTATAATGAATCTCAGACAATTATAACTCTAGGTAAAAACATCATCAGAAACGAAGGGGGCCATTTTAATATCATAAAATTGCCAATTCGTCAGGAAAGCATATAAACAATAATCATGTATATATCTAATTATAAAGCTTCAAAATAAAGAAAAAATAAAACCCTAAAGAAGCAATAAACTAAGTCAATAATGTAAATGATTGAAATAATACTGAGAGATTTCTGGTTTCTGGTCTGGAATGTAAGGAGCTTGAAAGTTGTCACTGCAACTTCACAACAAGAAAAAGTTGAAAACAAAACCCACTAAAAATTGACGACTCTTCTTAGATCCGTCAGGTGAGGATATGTGAGGTCACAAAGTGAAACACCGACCGAAATATTGAAGACGAAGACAGGTGGATGCAGAGAATCACAGGTTCCTGGAGCAGAACACCAGGAACGAAAACTGTGGGGATCGGTACTGGGGGTAGGAAAACCTAAACTGCAGTTGACAAATTGCCAGAGGCTCATCATGGACAATTTTGAGAGTTAACTTTTGCTGAGAGTAGTGGAAAAACAGGTAGATAGAGTACATATTGTATACATTCAATTTACATTTATCCTACATTTTATTTATGCAGGAATAGGAAAGACTCTTCTGTGGTGACAGAAATGACAGCGGTGGCTATGAGAATTAGGTGAAGTAATTAGAAAAGCTTATGCAGGAACTTTCTAGGGTGATGAAAATAATGTAAAATTTTACAGGAGTGTAGGTAACATGGGTGAATACACTTGGCAAACTTATTAGACACCATACTTAGGATCTTTACATTGAAAAGTATATAAGCTGTACTTCAATAATAAATTTTTAAAAATTAAATAAATACACGTCTAACTGTATTACTGCTTACTCTTTCTATAAGTAAAAATTTTAATTAATTAATCAAAGGCCTCAATTCCATGATGCATTACCCCCACATGCCTCTGTCTGTGTAAGTGTATGTATGTACATATGTGGTTGTGTATATGTGCAAAGAGAGAAAGAAAATGGAAGGAAAGAGAAAGAGAAAGGGAAGGAGGGAGGGAGAGAGGGATGGGGCAAGGGAGAGAGAGGTGAAAGATACTGTAAATAGAAGAAAATATTTAACATAGACATAAAAAAAATTTAACCGTATTGCTGAAATTCAGGAAAGTTACTTAAGTCTTTATTCCCCTACAGGGAAAAGGCAATGTACCTATTAATGAACCCAACAGTACTATCCTTTCCAATCAATACAGCAAAGCAGAGAAATATAGTCAGAGGTGAATGCAGAAACTAGAGGCAAGGAAGGTTGAATTAGAAATGCAGGGTAACCAGCACTTTGGGAGGCCGAGGCGGGCGGATCACGAAGTCAGGAGATCGACACCATCCTGGCTAACACAGTGAAACCCCTTCTCTACTAAAAATACAAAAATTAGCCGTGCGTGGTGGCGGGCCCCTGTAGTCCCAGCTACTAGGAGGCTGAGGCAGGAGAATGGCGTGAACCTGGGAGGCGGAGCTTGCAGTGAGCCGAGATTGCGCCACTGCACTGCAACCTGGACGACAGAGCGAGACTCTGTCTCAAAAAAAAAAAAAAAAAAAAAGGAAAGAAAAAGAAAAGAAAAGAAAAAAGAAATGCAGTGTAACTGATCAACATGGTGAAACCCCGCCTCTACTAAAAATACACAATTAGCCAGGCGTGGTGGTGCATGCCTGTAATCCCAGCTGCTTGGGAGGCTGAAGTAGGGGAACCGCTTGAACCTGGGAGGTGGAGGTTGCAGTGAGCCGAGATAGCTCCATTGCATTTCAGCCTGGTCAACAAGACCGAAACTCCATCTAAAAACAAAACAAAACAAAACGAAATACCAAAAAAGAAAAAACCACACACACAAGAAATGCAGGCTAACTGATAGTGTTCTCCACAAAATACCTGAGAGTTTTGCACCAGTTTCCCTTCCATTTTTACGTGATCCTCGCCCTTTCTGTAACAAGAATTCCAAGCTAGAGTTTGGGGAAACAAGGCACAGAGGAAGTCAATAGATAGTTGCATTAGCTTTTCTATTTCAAGCTGTCACAGCTGCAAAATTGTTCAATGTAACTCCGCAGGGAGTGCTACCCAGCTATGCAAATGAATTCCAAATGTGACATTTGCCAGCATGGGGGTGGTAGCTGTGAAGGCTGGGTGACTGCCACCAGTCTGTCTGATGGATTGACTCATATCACTGAGGAGCCAGCCACCATTGATTTCTGCCTTTCCATCACATCACGGTGACCTTCTCCCTGCAAGGAAGGAAAGGAAAAAAAAAAAAAGAGTGGACAAACAAAAAAGAGGTACAGAGTCAAAGAGGAAGTTACAGTGTTCCTTCCTTTATTTATCTCTCCTACTCTCAAGTACTTTCATTATTATGTTATTCCTCTCCACCAAGCCATTTCCTTTTACCCTCACCATATTCCACACTCATACAGTAGTATAACCAGATTAATAACTAGTCCTCATTCTTCCTGTCCTTATTATGTGATTTGGTTTGCCATTGCTTAATTGGTACTTTTGTCATACTTTTAATGCACTAATTAAAAAATAGAGATTAAGTAGAGAATGACTTTCTAGTATATGAATTCTTTTTTTTACCACATTTAATTTTTAATTTCTCAGTCAAATGATTTACTGATTTCCATATTACAAAATGTTTTGAAATTATACAGAACATAACTTCTAAACCATGTAGGTAGAAAGATAAAAGTATTGTCGGTACTCTTTCACCAAGAAAACCCCCGTGTTACGTTATTTTCACTTTTGTCAGAAAATCCCCCTTCTATTAGTAAAATAATCCCTGTTACTGCATGAAAATATGTGGTGGATGGAAGGTAACAGGGAGAGGAGGTAGTGTCAGAAAAGGGGATCAAATTAAGGGATCAAAAATGCCCCAAAGAGGTTCATGTACCTGGAGTCTAAAGTATATTTTGTTCTAAATGTTTTTTTTTTTCTCTTAATCTTCTCTGTCTGAACTGGCCTAGGTCATCTTCCTATATAAAAACATATTTTTATAAGAAAAATTGTACACTCTATTTAATAGTTTAAGAGTTATCCTTCTTGTTAAAGAGTTACAGAAAAAGGCAGTGATTCTATGGTAAGTCAGGACAGTTGTGCAAATAAATTTCTACTTTCTCCTTGGAGATTTACACTGATGCCTATGACTCCTTTGAGATTCTTGACTGGGTTTGCTTGAAACATCCTTTCCTCAGTGGTGTTCACTTGGTAAGTAAATTAGAGTAACAGAGAAGACTTAGGGTGATTTGGTTGGAGAATTAAATTTAAAAATATTCTTATGCTTAGAAGGTTGTCTAAGTAGAAGAAGACATCAGGGTACAGCTGAAATAAGGTTGTAGCTATAAGATACATGTTAAAGGACTCAAAGATTGACAACAGTGATAAGAAGCCTCTTTCAGCTAGAGTTATAAAACGGCTTTCAGGAATCATTGGTGCCTTGTCCGCAATTGTCTCCCGCAAGGACCAGAGCATGAAAGGACCTACTCCAAAAAGAATTATGGGTCTGGCTTTGAGACATTATATGAATTCTGATCAGATTCATAGGAAACTCACAAAGGTTTTATAAATGTTGTATGAAAGACAACTCCACAACTAGCTTGGACTAAAAGGGACAGAGATTGTTTGTAATAAAAAGAGAGATCTGGGCCTTCAAACCTTTATTGTTAGGAAGCAGGATGAGAGCTACTCAGTGGCAAATTTAAATTGTTCTTCCATCTTTATTTTTAATCAACTTTATTGAATATGTGTGTGTATTTGTAAATGTATATGTGTGTGCATATGCCCATTATACTTGAACAATTCACTGAGTGTTGACAACCGTATAGACCCATAGAACCACTGCCACAATAAAGATACAGAACATTTCCATTTCCCTAAAAGTTTGTTTTTGCCAGGTAATCTTCATCAGTGGTGGATTAGATAAAGAAAACGTGGTACATGTACACCACATATAAAAGAGTGAAATCATGTCCTTTGCAGCAACATGGATGCCATTATCCAGGCAAATAAACACAGGAACACAAAGCCAAATACCGCATGTTCTCACTTATAAATGGGAAGCAAACGTTGAGTACACATGGACACAAAAGAGGGAACAAGAGACACCTGGGCCTCCTTGAGGGCAGAGGGTAGGAGGAGGATAAGAGTCAAAAACTAAGTATTGGGTAGTATGCTCACTCCCTGTGTGTCGAAATCATTTGTTCATCAAACCGCAGTGACATGCAATTCACCCGTATCACAAACCTACACACATACCCTCTGAATCTAAAACAATAGCTGAAATTACTAATGTATAAATAAGTAAATAAATAAGTAAATAAATAAATGTAAACATATACAACCAAAAGTATAGTCCAGTTTTCAAGGACCACCTGTTGAAAGCCTATTCTTTTCCCCATTAATTTACCTTAGCTTCTTTCCCCTTTAATCACTTTGGGTGAAATAACTTGATCATGTCTATTTAGGGCAGCTTCTGGGCACTCTTTTCATCAAAATTAATTGACCCTTTACATTTAGTTCTATTTCTGAACTCACTATTTTTTTTTTCCATTGGATTGCTTGTCTATTCTTCAATATAACATTATCTTCATTACTATAGCTTAATATAAGTCTTTAAGTCAAGCACTGGAAGTCCTCAAATTTTGTTGTTTTCTTAAAGATTGTTTTTTCATACATTTTGTATCAAGCCTAATAATTTCTTTACCAAAAAATTGCTTGTTGGGGTTTTGATTAAGATTACATTTAATATTTACATCTATTTGGTGATAAATTACATCATAACAATTTTGAATCTTCCATACATAAATACAATATATTTTGCATGTACTAAATTCTTTTAATTTCTCATACCAATGTTTTAAATTTTCTTTATATACAACTAATTAAATTTTGGTCAATACATTCTAATATGTATTAATTTTTGAAGTTATGATAAATTATCTTCAATTCAATTCCATATTATTTTTAGTATACGGAAATACATTTGAGTTTTGTATATTGATCTTATAACACGATTCTGCTAGATATGCATTTATAGCTGTTTATAGCTGACTATAGCCGTTTATGGGTTTGGTAGGATATTCTACACATATGTACGTAACAGTGGTCAATAAAGAGCTAACTTCTTTTGTAACCTGTAACTCTAAGGATTTTTCTTTTCATATCACACTGATTAAGACCTCTAGTACAATGTTGTATAGAAGTGTGAACATAGACATCTTGCCTTGTATAAAATAGAAAAAAAAATAATTCAGTCTTTACTCCTTAGTATGATGTTTCATATAGGTTTCTGTAGATGACTTTTATCAGGTTAAAGATGTTTCCTTTTATTTTTTATCTTACAGAGCTTTTATTTTATATAAAATTTTTTTTAATTTTGTCAGATGTACTCTCTTACTCTATTCACATCATATTTTTATCCTATATGCTTTAAACTTGGTGATTTGCCTTTATTGCTTTTTAGAATGTTGAACAAAGATTGCATTTCTGTGATAAACTCCCTTGAATATAATATATTATCCATTTTATATATCAGTGACTTCAATTTGCTAACATACAATTAAGGCTCTTTTTCTTTTACAGTGATGAGTGATCTAGGCCTGAAGTTTCTGTGTAATGTCTTTATCTGATTTTAGAATCAGAGTAATGTTTGTCTCATAAAATGAGTTGAGAAGCATTCCCCTGTTCTCTATTCTGGGAAAACCAAGAATGTGTAAAATAAATGCATTTTTGTCCTTAAGCATTTGATATAATTCACCAACTTCTTAGCTTGAACTTTATTTGGTGGGAAAATGTTTAACTACTTACACAATTTTAATAGATATATGACTATTTATTAATAGATATCAGCTATTTGAAAGCTTATCTTTGTCAAGGAATGTGTCTATTTTATCTAAGCTGTAGAATGTCTTGTCCTAAAGATTTCCATGATATTCCTATTTTTAATATTCATACAGGCTGCGGCAGTATTCCGTCTGTAATTCCTAATATTGGTGTCTTGCATCCTTACTCTTATTTTCCTAATCAGTCTATACAGATATTTGTCAATTTTATTGATCTTAACAGAAATTAATGAAAAATTGTCCTTCTTTGTTTTCCTTTTTTATTATTTGCTTTTCATTTCTTTAACTTCTGCTTTTACATGTTTATCCCATTACTGTTTCTTTTAAATTTAATTTTCTCTTCCTTTACTTGTTATCAGGTGGAAGGTTAAATTATTGCTCCAATGCCTTTATAATTTTATATAACTATGATCAATTTTGAATCGATTTTATAGTATAATGTGTAAAAAGTCAAGGCTTCTTTTTAAATTTTTTTTCTATATAAATATCCCATTTTCCAATGGCCTCTTTTCCCCCCATTGCTTTCTTGGCTCCTAGTGAAAAAACTTGACTGTGTATGTATGGATAGTTTCAACTGTTCTATAGGCAAGAAGTGTAGTGTGTTTATTGCAAACAACTCCACCTAATGAAAAATTTCACTTCTAAGCACCCAAAGACGTGGAAGATGATTTAATCCTGCCTTTCCAGCTCTGCTTTTTTCAGAGGCAAGGAACTCCCTATTTTTTTGGCATAGAGCATGTCAGGACTCTGTCTTTTCTATCATGATTGTTATTCATTTCAGGATTTTCAAACTGATATTTTTTTGCTTTTTGTACCACATAAGTTGAAACCTTTGAATTGTTTTAAGAGGGAGAACAGTTGTGTCTTTGATATGGGTGTCTTCCTCTAATGTGACTAAGTATGCATAGGCAGTAGGAATATTGCTCTAAATTTCTGGCCCAGTCCTCAAGCCTCCATAGTCCCATCCCTCAGATAATATTCCATGGGATAAATGATGATGCCCTTGGGCTCTTGTAGATTTTAATTTGCCACTTTACTCATAACATTATCAAATACTATTGTTATTGTTAATATAATATGAATGCTATTATTTTGCTTAATTATTACCCTCAACAACTACATATATAGTTAAATATATCATTTTTGGCATAAACCACTACATAAGTGAAAAAAGGCAACAAAATTGAAATATGTCAGTTATCTGAAGGATAACTTAGCCAAGAGCCTAAATTTTGGTAAATTTTCTATTTCATAAAAGGCCTTTGCATCTAGTAGAGAGTAGAGCTGACAATCTTTTCTATCCAAAACATAATTTTCATGAGACCCATGATCACTGAGCCACAAAATAAGTGTCACAATGTAAATTCCTTGGAGTATACGTGCTTTACCTGTATTTTTACTTGGCTTTTTTTTCATCCAATTATAGTTGGTTTACACATATGTTTGAAAGCTTGGAATACGACTGAAGTTATAATTTAAAAGTAGATATGCCTATAGCAAGAATTGTAATAATAATAATGAGAGCTACCAGAACCTGATATTAGCAAATTCCAGACTAAAATGCCCCAGCCCTCACTCCCTTACAAATTCAATGATTTAACAACTGCCGATGGAAACAAATAGCCCTGAAAGAACTCCAGTATATAATCAAGAATATGTTTCAACTCAGTGGAGCACAAAAACCATGGATGGTGACATAGAAAAGTATAAAAAACATTTTGTCTGTGTAACCCATCCCTCAAACCTGGCACAGCTCAGTGCCAAGAAGGATCCCCTCAATTATGACTCTCCTCTGTGGGAAAAGGAAGATCAAGAAGACCCTAGCAGCCTTCACCACTGAGGACCCCAGAAGCAACTGACACCACCATGGGCACTCACAGCCTTTGCCACTAAGATCCCCAACACTTTTTGCTAATGCTGATCTCAGGTAATGAAGATTTCCAGAGTCCATGAAACTGTGCCCTGCAGAGAAAGAGACACGACTGTGCTTCCTTGGATCCAGAAGCATGATTGCACCTTTGCCCTTCCCCAGTGCAGAAGTTGCCACTGCACTCCCCAGAGATAGGGCTGCACCAGTGGCCCCCATAGACTGGAACTCACTGCTGTGCCCCCATGGAGTTGTAAATGTTGCATTGCCCACCTGACCTTGGAACTGGTGCTGCTGTGCATCCTCTGGTACCTGCAGGGACACTTGCGCCTGGAACTGACATTCTTATATGCCCCTGGGACCAGCATCCCTGTGCATTCCTGGATCTGACTTTGGACCTGGCATTAACACTAACCCAACTCAGCTGGTGACCTTGTATCCACCAGTAGATGAAGGTATTTTTCCACTGAACCCAGTACGTAAACACTGTAAGAGGTGATGACTCCTTTAAAAGTGCAGACACCAACACAGCACAACAACAAACACAAAATTCAAGGAAATATGACACCACCAAAGGAATACAAATTTCCAGAAACTGACTCCAAAGAAATGAAGATCTACAAATTGCCTAACAATAATTTCAAAACAATTGTTTCAAAGAATCTCAGTGAAGAATGAGAGAAAACATTTGTAACACTCAATAAGATGAGAAAAAAAATCCATAAACAAAATGAGAAGTTCAACAAAAGGGTAGAAATAATTACAAAAGAACCAAACAAATTCTGGATATGAAAAATGTGATAAATGAAGTGAAAAATGCAATAGAGAGGTTCAATAGCAGACTCAATTGGGTAGAAGAAAGAATCAGTGAACTAGAATATAGGACTTTGGAAATAATCTAGTCAGAGGGGAAAATTTAAAAAATAATAAAAAGAGAGGAAAAGCTACAGGCTTCATGGGACATCATCAAGTCAACCAATATACTGTATTCACAATGTCTTAGATTTGGGAGCATTTCAAATTTTGGATTTTCAAATTAGGGATGCTCAGCCTCTACTAAAATAATGATAATAATTTAGAAAAACTGCTTACTGTGATTGCTATACCTGGAAAAACTATTATTTAAAAACGAAGGAGTGATAAAGTCTTTTTCAGAAACATAACACGGATGCAATTCATCACCACTAGACATGTCTTACAAGAAACACTTAAGGGAGTTCTTCAAATCAAAATGAAAATACACCAGACAGAAATATAATAGCATATGAAATCATGAACCTCATTAGTAAAAGAAATACATAGAGAAATACAAAATAATATGACCATGCAATAGTGGTGTATAAATTACTTTTAACTCTAATATGAAAGTTAAAAGATAAAAATTTGTTAATGGATAAACAACATATAAAGAAGCAAACTCTCACAGCAAGAACACTAATTACCTGGGGAGGAAGTAAAAGTGTAGAGCTTTGTATTTGATTGAAGTCAAGTTGTGATTAACTTAAAATAATGGAATATAACTACATAATATTTTATGCAATCCTTGAGGTAACCACAAAGAAGTCCACAACACATACAAAATAGTTAAAAAATAATCAAAGTAAATCTACAAAAAATCATCAAATATTGAAGAAAGATAGCAAGAGAGGAAGAGAAAAATAAAACAACTGCTAAACATGCAGAAAGCGAAATACGTGGATGTGAAAATCCTTAATAAAAAATATTAGCAAACCAAAGCAAGCAACAGCACATTAAAAGCATCATACACCATTACGAAAAAGGATTTATCCCAAGGATGCAAAGATGATTGAACATATTAAAGTCCATCAATGTGGCATACCAGATCAACAGAATGAAAGAAAATGACATGATCATCTCAATAGTTGCAGAAGAAGCACTTGCCGAAACTCAATATTCATTCATGATAAATATATTCAACAAAGTGGGTACAAAATGACTTATTCAACACAATATTTGAAAAAATCCAGATACAGAAAGACAAATGCTGTGTAAACTCTCTTATGTGTGGAACATTAAATAGTCAAGCTCACAAAAGCAGAGAGTAGAAGGGTGGTTTCCAGGAGCGTAAAGCAGGGGACAAACGGGAAGATGTTGGTCAAGGGTACAGCATTTCAGTTACGCAGGATGAACAAATTCTAGAGATCTGCTGCATGGGATTGTGACTATAGTTATCAATGCTATTTTGTATACTTGCAAATTGTTAAGAGGGTCAATCCTAAGCATTGTCATTTCAAAAAAAGAAAGAGAATGGTAATTGTGAGTTGATGGATACATCAAAGTACATAGTGGTGATTATTTCACAATGTGTATCTATTTAAAACATTAAGTTGTACACCTTTTATTGGCCAAACATAACAATACTGCTGGAAAAAATAATTAAGAGCTAGCCGGGCATGGTGGACCATGCCTGTAATCCTAGCACTTTGTGAGGCCGCGGCGGGCGAATTACCTGAGGTCAGGATTTCGAGACCAGCCTGGCCAACATGGCAAAACACCGTCTCTACTAAAAATACAAAAATTAGCTAGGTGTGCTGGCATAGGCCTGTAATCCCAGCTACTCGGGAGGCTGAGGCAGGAGAATTGCTTGAACCCAGGCGGTAAAGGTTGCAGTGAGTCAAGATCGCGCCACTGTACTCCAGCCTGGGAGACAGAGACTCCGTCTCAATAACAATAATAATAACGATAATAATAACAGTAATTAAGAGCTATAATTTATTGTGCATCTACTGCATACTAGGCTCATTGTTTATATTATTCTCATCTGATTCTCCCCTGAGGATTTTGAAGTAGGAGTTTTTGAAAATGCAAAAACTGAGGCTTACAGGTAAGAAATAACCAAGAACACATAACAATAGGCATACGAGCCTGACACTAAAGGAGAGTCATAATCCTGAATAGAAAGCACATTGCCTAGATTATAGTCGTGCAGGAATCTAGGGTTGTTTGCTGTGGGATAGCAGCTCCCTACTTTTCTGTTGAACTCCTAGATGTCACCGTTCAATAATTGTTGTTCATACTGATGTACCTTAAAATACTAAATTAAAAGGTAAAATTGTATTTAATAAGTCAGAGAACAATAAAATGTATTTTGGAAATATGTAGTTATTTCCAGAGTATTTTGTTTGTATTATGTAATAGTTAATTTAAAAAATCAATCTTATATGTGAAAAATAAAAATACAAAGTAAAAGCAAAGTCAACGTGAAAATATACCCAAATTTGCAGACATTAATAAGCCCAGTATTACTGTTTTTGGTATTTTCTGCAAACTTCCTTTTATTTTTAAAAAATTTTTAAATTATTTTTATTTTTTCAGATGGAGCCTTGCCCTGTCACCCAGGATGGAGTGCAATGGTGCCATCTCAGCTCACTGCAACCTCCACCTCCCAGTTTCAAGCAATTCTCGTGCCTCAGCCTCTCGAGTAGCTGGGATTACAGGCACATGCCACCACTCCCAGCTAATTTTTTCTATCATTAGCAGAGATGGGGTTTCACCATGTTGTCCAGGCTGGTCTTGAACTGCTGACCTTGTGATCTGCCCACCTCGGCCTCCCAAAGTGCTGAGATTACAGGCATGAGCCACTGTGCCTGGCCAAACTTTCTATTTAAAGGTTAGAAGGAAACCGAGAAAAATGAATTTTCTTTCAGTTAAAAAGAAAAAATAAAATGCATCTGTAAATATCTCAATTTATCACTTGAAGTCTGCTGGTGAGATCCTTGTGCTTTTTAAAACAGATATTTTGTCACAGATAATTATAGCATGACTTTTCTAGAATACAGTCATTATTGATCATTATAGTTCATAAAGAAAATTAATGAGACTTAATTTTGTTATACAGTATCTGTCTGGATAGTCTGGCTTAAGTGGAAGTAACAAAGTCCACAAAATCTCTGTGACTTAATGTAAAATTTACTGCACACTGGGTTCTCGGTCCTGTTGTCTCAGCGTTATAGACTGCCTTGATTGATCTTATGGTACGTCAGCCCCAACCCTCCTCCACGCGGCACAGGTAAGAGCATGCTGGGGAGTCCAGCCCTGGTCGTCAGGGGCACTCAGCAAGGCTGTCCACTTTTCCTGGGCCCACGCAAGTAACTGGGCTGTGACTTATCTTGGGATGGTGGAGAACCACAACAGCCTTATGGGTGGAAAGAGTTGAACAGAAAATATTGGTGAGTAATATTAAAATCTACCACCAATATATATTTGAAAAAGTAAGTAAATGTTTGTTTTTGTTTTAACTTTTACTTACAAGTAAAATTATTAGTCATGATTTTGACCTGCCAAAATGAACTATGCTGGGCCAGGAACAGCTCAAGTTTCCCAAGAAAGAAGATTTTACAAAAACACTGAGAACTTCATTCTAGGGCCTACTGGTATAAAAATCAAGTAATCGATTATTAAACACATTAATTGATTACATTAATATATCGATATGAAATTGTTGACTTAACATGATAATGTTAATAACTAAAACTAAAATAATGACTGATTTGATTCTTCACAGAGTAAAATGTATACGACTACTTTTAAATCATGTTAAAATAAATAGAATTTTCTCATCTAAATATTATACAATGTTCAGTGGATTAGAAAATGCTTAACTTGATTATTTGAGGATCTTTAAAAATATAGCAAATGTCTAGAATTACTAACATGATGAGAAGAAACATTTATAGTTTGGCAAAGCAACTCATACTCAATTTTGCACACATGCAATATTGAGAAATATTGCTCTAGTTAAAGACATAATAACAATAAAATAATAATAAAAATGGCAAGTATGCACCACTTTGAGTAATAATTCATCGTTCTTACTTTTGACTTTACTAAACTAAGTAATAAGCTTTAAAACGCTGTTAGAATCATAGATTATACAGGTAAACTAAAATCTGGGGAATCTTTAATTTAAGATAAAATTTCCCGGAAATATAGAATATATTTTAACTCAATAGTTTAAATTAGTTAACATATTATTTTCAATGAACTGAATGGACTCAACATGTTCTCATTTCCTGAACTTTTACACTGCAGTGATAAAAATTGCTGAGGCAAGATCATTGCGGGGCTCAGAAACAGCAAGTATAAAAGTGAAGAGGCAGTCAAGGGTTATAAGATCATATTCAAAACAGCAAAGGAGGCTCTCAGGAGTAGATCATAGCAGTGAAGAGAGGAGAGGGGGCTCAATGCAGGCAAGGTCAGCCAGAGCCAGACTGGCAAGGACTTTCGGGTTTAGCAGCACATTAAAAAATGCCCTGATAATATTCATAATTCTCCTTTGTTATGTCTTCACCTGAAACAAAAGTCTGCCTGCCTGCATTACCTTGCAAATTATAATTACCGTTCTGACACAGTTGGAAAAAGAAACTGTTGAAAGTGAAGACTTGCTTCTGAGACTTTTGGGAAGAAGCCAATTTTGACACTGCATTACCTTGTATTGAAAACACTGTGCCACAAGAGGGGAAAATTATTCGAGGGATTTCATGTGGTGTGGAGAAGTTTGATTTTAGCAGGTATTTCTGAAGATTAAACTAAGACTGCCCTTTTCCCAGAGTGTATGTGAACACACACAGTAAATAGACAAGCACATTTAAACTTGCATAGCACACTGAATTCTTGGTAGATATTGAAGTACAGCTAATGAAATACTGATTTAAACTTTTTAGAGAATAGAGGGTGCAGGAAAAAAACTTAAGGACATTCTATGTGTGTATTTTAATAGTCATTTTTATATTGATAAAGGGGCAATTGTATCTCTGTATATGTATGTCTGTGTCTATCTAATAAAAATAAGTAAATTTTATGTGGTGCTTTCTTTGTGTGAGAAACCCTTACACACTAAATACAACTTGCCATGGGCTTACATAGTATTATTATGATTTCCATTGTATAGACTCAGAATGGTTTCCATGCTTTGCTGATATTGTTACTGTTTAATTTCTATATCTTCAATATATTAAGTTGTGCAAATGCTTATAAAGATGGGATTTTTACAATGTTATTATTGTCTTTTTATTTGTTTGGTAAAATAATTTTCTAATGAGATTCTTTTTTAATCTATTTAGTTGTCCATTGGTACAATTCATAAAGAAAAAAACAAAATAAATGCTCAATTTTAATAAAAAATGAATTGCTTTCCTAACATCTTCAGAAGGTGACTAAATCCTTTCATTTAATATCATTTATCATTTGAGTGTATTTGGTGGGCCGCAATCCATTGCATATTTATCACTGTCATATTTCTAATTGTCCCATTTTGTGTAGTGAGTGCATTTCCAAATCAGTCCTTCATTCTTTGGATATGCACCTAGTAATCTTTGACAATTTTTTTATTTATATGTTTTTCCTGCATTTTTCTTTCTCAAAATAGAGATTAATCTCTTTCTTCAAGAAGATCTGGTTGCTTTAGATTTAAAAAATGGTATTTGAAGTCCAAAATCTAAACTATATGGGCATAAATGATGACTATTGCTTTTTGGCTTTTAATTCTAGGTCCTTTTACTGGCTTACGCCTGGAATTTTATTGTAAATACAAATACACCCCCATATATTCTATTGTTGTACAGCAAATAAACTACAAAATTAAAGCAGCATACATGGATGTCAGAGAAAAGCTTAGCTGGGTCCTCTATTTAGGGTATTACAAGGCTGAAACTGATGTGTCCACTGGGCTGTATTCTCATGTAGAAAATCAATGAGAAAAGCGCCCACTTTCCAAATCACTCGGGTTGTTGGCAGAATTCAACTGCTTGCAATTGTAGGACCAAGAGCCCTGACTTCTTGCTGGCTGTTGGTGGAAGGCTGTATTTAGCTACTAGTATTGTCAAAGTCCTTTGCCATGTGAGCTTCCCTAATTTGGCTGCTTATATCAAGACCTAAAGGAGAGTTCTTAGAGTTAATCCACTAGCAAGATGGAGTCTTATGTAATATTATTTTAATACCAAATGTGACATCCAATCTCTGCTATAGTCTATTGGCTAAAAGCATAATCCACAGTCAGGGAATGAAGATTGCATAGGAATCTGAACCTCAGGAGGTGAGGATCACTGGGGGCATCCCAGGATCTCTCTGCCACCATATATATGTAAAAAATATATTTTGTGTGTTTATATAAATATATAAAAATATATTTTGTGTGTGTATATAAATATATAATGTATATTTATATTTAAATATAAATATATAATATATTAATATATTATATTAATATGTTATAATATATTAATATATTATATTATATTGTTATATTATATTAATATGTTATATTATATTAATATATTATATTATATTGTTATATTATATTATATTGTTATATTATATTATATTGTTATATTATATTATATTATATTAATATGTTATATTATATTGTTATATTATATTAATATATTATATTATATTAATATATTATGTTATATTTATATTATATATAATATATTGAACATATTATATAATATATATTTAACATATAAATATATATTATATAATATATATATATTTATATATATATAATATAATATGTATTTATATATAAATACATATTATAGAATATATATTTATATATCAATACATATTATATAATATATATTTACATATTAATACATATATAAATATGCATTATATATACATCTATATATATTATATATTTATATACATATTTATATGTATATTTATATAAATATACATGTTTATACATATTTAAGGTATACATATTTCTATACATATAGAAATATGTATACCTGTGTATACATATTAAATATATTTATAGAAATATGTATACATTATGTATTATACATTAAATATACATATATATGTTTATTATACATATATTATCCATATATATTTATTATACATTAAATATACATTATATATTTATATATAATTATATATGTATACACATATAAATATATATATTAACACACACACAGAAATATATTTACACACTTACACATCTCATATCTTTTTTTTTTGAGACAGAGTCTTGCCCTGTCACCCAGGCTGGAGTGCAGTGGCACGATCTCGGCTCACTGCAACCTCTGACTCCTGGGC
The DNA here is from genome assembly GCF_000001405.40 of Homo sapiens. Taxonomy (NCBI): domain Eukaryota; kingdom Metazoa; phylum Chordata; class Mammalia; order Primates; family Hominidae; genus Homo; species Homo sapiens. Next base: position 164,627,484 of record NC_000006.12, on the reverse strand, counting down.
TCAAGGGATTCTCATGCGTCAGCTTCCTGAGTAGATGGAATTACAGGCATGCACCACCATATCCTGCTAATTTCTGTATTTTTAGTAGAGATGGGGTTTTGCCATGTTGGCCAGACTGGTTTCGAACTCCTGGCCTCAAGTGATCTGCCCGCCTTGACCTCTTAAAGTGCTGGGATTACGGGCATGAACCACCACACCTAGCCTCTTATCTTCTATATTATATGTGTATCTTCTTTTTTTACACTAAGAATTCTAGTTGTCCAGGTCATAGGAAATGATAGTACTAGACTATTGCCCATACATGTGTCTCAGAATAATAACACCAATACTACATTACTAATTATCATTACTGAAACAGTTAACCTTTTATATTCCATCTGCATTATCTTCCCATTTTTATATTTGTGCTCTATCCACATTTTCAGATTGTATAGCTACTAAACACTCTAATCTCCCATTTGTTTGCCTCCATTTAATCTTGGTTCTATTAATAATTATTCAGTATATTTAATGTTAACTATTCGTCCTCATGCAAATGGCTCTTTAGTTATTTTGGTTTTCTGATGTGAATTCTTCAGTAGATTCCTTACAAAGCATTCATGGGAGTAATATTCCCTTGAGAGTAATTGGATGTGACATCTTCTCCTTGCCCTTTATATTCAAGGTCCATTTTCACGGTTTACATAGTTATTTGGGAGTCTTAAATATGATGCTCCATTCTACGTTGGATAAAGTGTTGCCATTGAATTTGGATGATATTCTAATTTTGTTTCTCTTCATGTTACTTAGTCATTTTGCCTAGAAACATGAAAGATCTTTATTTTTTCAAATCTAGTAATTTTATCAGAATATACATTGGTGTGGGTTATTCTGCAGCAACATTATCATGTATGGTATTCTTTGTTTTCAATTTTTGTTTCAGCTATTTAAAAATATGTATTTTTAAAAGTTTACTTGAATTATAGTTTAAGAACTTTTTCTTTTTCTTTGCTTAGTTTTCATCTTCAGGGTTTCTTGTTCTCTGCGTGTCGAATCATCTTAGCCTATCTTGCATATATGTTCTTTTCTCTTGAAAGTTATTTTAATCTTTTGATTGCATTTTAATTTTTTAAAATTTTCTCTTTTCACCTTCCATTTGTATTAATTTTTGTATGTTTGCTGTTGTGTTCCTTCTAATTTTATTCTTCAGTATTAAAATTATATTTGCCTTATATGCCTATTTTTCTTGAGTTCTCCCATATAATTTATTATTCTAAATTATGCTCTTACTTGATGTCATATCTTTATGTCTTTTGGATTTGTCTGAAATCACATATTAGAGTTATTATTATTTTATGCATTTATTTCTTGCATCCTTTTATTCTTTTGGGGAAATCTTTGGTCTCCTAAATAATTTGTATTATAATTACTGCTTGTGAAATTTTACCTTTATATAGTTTATTGCTCATTTTTATGTAAATTTTACCTCACTTAACTTGTAGAAATTGGCTGTTTGGATGGCTTTTCTAATTTCAACTAACTCTCCCTCTGTTATTTTTGTGGAGTTTTAGAAACATTACAGCATGTCTCATGTTTTCTCCTTCTTTATATTTCTAACTTTCATCTATACCTTATTTATTTCTCTTACCTTGATTCCAACCAATTTTAAGTCCACTCTCAGTAATTTCTCCGCAGTGTGAAGTCCTGTGTGGAAAGGGGGCCCTTGCGGGATGGTGTTGACAGTTCATGGTGGCCACAGTGCTCTGTTCTCAGTTTTCAGTGAGGGACTCCTGGAATTCACCTTCTGCTGCCTTGGACCAAACACTTCTCATTTCAGGAGCTGTCTTCAAATTCGCCTGCAATTCTTTTAGTTACCTTGAGGATTTCCTGTTTTACAATCAATGCCCTCTTGCTTTCTTCTGCTTTCTCCCTACAGATATCAATTATGTATTTAATTTTTCTGTAGTCAGTGATTTCTCCCTACTTTGCTGTATTTAAAGGTTATACTTTATTATCCAGTTATGTTGTGTATGTTGTTCATACATTTTTAAAATTTGTTGTATAATTTTGACTGTTCCGTAATTATGTGGGTATTTAGAAAGATATAAAAATTTTAGTTGTCATCTCTACTACCTTCTTCACCAAATACTTTTATACCTCATTTTATTATTTTAGCTAATATTAATTCTAATGGTTTGTTCCTTTATCTGTTTTTCTTACATTTCCTTGATTTGTCAAGCTGCTAATCTTTCTACATTTACCTGTTTTATCGTATTTCCTACTAATTTTACCTTCTCTTTCCTATATGTCTAAATACAAAATCCGTTTCTCTACTAATTGTTCTTCAGTGCTTGGTGCAACTACTATCACTATCGAGGTACCAATTCAACTATTGATCCCTCTGTGTTATCAACTATTTATGATCGAACCAATTATTTTCTTTTCTCATTGCTTATTTATATGCCTAAAATGCAGTTACCCGTACTATATATGCCTCAATCTATTAAGATAAACTGACATCTTACGCACATATGTGTGTATATGTATATACAATTTGTGTCTGTGTAGATACGTAATTATTTTCTTCTATCTTCCCACCATCTCTGTTCAGATGAAACCCGAAACACCCATACTCCACCTTAATTTTTTCTGAAATACCTTGATTTTTGTTTTCAGACATATTTTAATATATTTAAAATATTTATTAGAATTTTCTTTGATACCTGGATCCATGCTTCAGGAGTTCGAATTTAACACCTTTATATATTTTAGATAATATGTTAGTTTTAATTTAGAGAAAAATGTAGATATTATATGTTTTGACTTTTTTAATGTCTGTAAACTTATTTTTGTCTGAACATGTGACTGTTGCATTGTTTGCAATCTTACTCTTTCAGTAAGCTAGATGTTATTTCACTGCCTTCTACTTTTGAGAGTTGCATAAAAGAAGCCTGATGTCAGTCTAATATTTTTTCCTTTGAAGAAAATAAGTTCTTTTGGTCTAAAAGATTGGAATTGGTTTTAACCAGAATGAGCCAAAGTATGTTCTTTTTCATATCAATTCTGTCTAGATTTAGGTACATTCTTTACATTTACAATTGTAGATATTTATTTAACTCATGAGCGTTTTCCTCTGTTTTTTATATAATTCTTAATCTATCCTACATGTGTTTCTTTTTCTCTTACCGGAACTTCAACGACTTACAATCATCTGCATCTCCCAGCAATCTCATGATTTCATTCACTTTGTATTTTTGCTCTGTGGGCATGAAATATTAAGTCATGTGATCCTCAAGGCCACTAATACAGGTGCAAAAAAGATTATCTTTTGCTTGATTTCTCTTATTGATATCTGAGTTAATAAATGATGTTTGCTTGTTTTTAGTTTCATTTTATCTTTTTTATGATTCTCCTTTATCTCCTTTTTCTTTTCTTGCCTATTAAATACATTGTTTCTGTGATAGTTAATGTTATGTGTCAATTTGGCTGGGCTACAGTGTCCAGATATGTGGTCAAATGTTAATCTGAATATTTCTGTGAGGCTGTTTCTAGATGAGATAAACATTTGAATCGACAGACTGAGGAGAGCAGATTGTCTTGCAGTATGTTTGTGGACCTCATCCACTCAAGTGAAGGCTTGAATAAAAAACAAATAAATAAATACATTTTAAAAAGCCTGACTTCCTCTGGAAAAAAAAAGTGGAATTCTACCAGTCTGAAGGCCTTTGAACTTGAACCACAACATCACCTTTTCTCTGAGTCTCTAGCCTCCTGGCTCACCCCACACCACAGATTTGGGTTCACCAGCCTTCATAATTGTATGAGCCAGTTCCTTAAAATAAACTTCTCTCTATATACGTGTGTACACATCCCATTGGTTCTGTTTCTCTAGAGAGCACTTACTAACACAGTTTTCCTGAGCAGCTATGTTTTGCTGATTGTTACTTGTCCCAGTCCTTATCCCCGTTGCATCTGTTGGATAACCTTAAATGCACTGCCAGTTTTCTTTCATGACTCACTGGGGTTCACAACTGTTTTCTGGGCAACTCTAAGAGGTGGCAATTTCAAAACTGGTGAAGGCAGTGGGTGAGGCTTGTCTGGCTTGAAAGAGTGAACTGGGCAGGCTAACAAACTCTACTGAGGCATGGGGATAAACTCTTGCTCATTCTCTTCTTCTTTTCCTCTCTCTGTCTTAGAGGATTCAACCCAATTGATCAGAACCTTCTCGGTCTTTCAAAGGCAATGGTATTTGGTTAGATTCAGATGGTACCAATTTAGTTTTTTCAACAGGGGTTGGCATATTTCGGTGACACAAGCTCTTTCTGCAATCCTTAGTTTTGCATTTCGATTCTCAAGTTTGTCTTTGGTGTCATCCAAGTTTTGTAAATCCTAACATTTTAAAAAATCAGGATAAATATACAGTTTAGGTTTCATAAAGGAAGAGGAGGCAGTTGTGTTCAAAAGTTGGCTTCAAAAAAAATCTTGTATTATTTGAGTAGATCTTTGCTATTTCCCCCAAATTTCTTATTATAATATAAATATGTACTAAAATAAATAAACAATGCATTCAAATTATAAAAATATTTTATTAGAATAAAATATATACTAAAATTGATTTCAGGATTCTAGACATTTTTTTCAATGTTATTCAAAAGAAGCACCTTTGTACACAATTTTTTAAAAGTCTATTTCGAAGAAACATAGTGATATTTATTCTTCTCCCATATATTTATATTTCAATTGACAGCTGATTTCACCACATTTTGAAAAGATGAGCAATTTATTCATTTAAAACAGAAAAAGAAAAATGAATAAGTTGTGTGACCCATGGCCTGATTTAATAGAAAAGCATTTACTCAACTGAGATGTGATCATTCACTCCCCAAACCATCCCGCTTGCTCTAACCATCATTCATCTCTCATTTAGTTATTAGGCAAACATATTGAAGGACCATTATTAACTAGATGCAACAAGAGCATACCATGCAAAGTAAGAAGCAGGCAAGTTAACTAAGAATTTAATAAAATATCATAAATCCTCTCAGAACTGCAAGCCCACATTTCTAACGAGATCAAAATGTTTTTCCTAAACTGTTTTAACTTGTTTCTTTGTATTTTGTGTTATGCTTTTTTGTTTTGCTTTATAATTGCCTTAAGTGGTTGTTTTTAAAATGCCAATAAAGATAGCAACTTTTATTTTATCCAGAAAATAGTAATGGAATACATTTTAAAGAGAATCTGGAAAAGACACTGAAACGTACACCAAATTCTCATTTGACTTTCTGAAGGTATCTGAAAAAAATAATATTAGGGAGTGTTCAGGGTATTTTTAGCATACTAAGTCATGTCTCCTATATTAATCTTGAAATATACCATTCAGGTGAAGATGAAATGCTGAGCTATAGTCCAGAGATTATTGTCTGCAAGAGCTGTGTTTGCTAAATTTCCTAAGCAAGTGGAGTAGAAAGAATCAGAACTATGTGGGAATTGACCTGGAAATGCATTACATCCAGGAGGTGGAGATGGGAACAAGAGAGAAAGACATAATACCTCACTCAAGAGAAGTTTTCCAATTATGCAAAATGTTTCTGTGGAAAACTTATTCCTCCAGGAAGTAACGTTAGGTTCTGCAATTGAATTCATGACACAGCCAAATAAGTTTTTGTCAAAATTTCTATAACTAAAACAGAACACAGATCCTAAGAAACCATATACCATACCATTAATCTACACTTCGCTATTTATATTTAAATTTTGTTTTAAACTTGGATTATCAGAGGTAGAAATTACAGAGAGGTAGGGGTGAAAAATATATTTTCCACAAGGATGGCAAAAGACTTGAGAAAGCGGCCTCTCTTGCTCTTGTAATTCTGAACCAAATCATTTTCAGGATCTGAATATATTACTAATAATGTAATGAAAATAGATAAGGTTGCCAGAAGCTAAATGTGATTCAAAAGTAGATATGTTAATAAGAAAACTAGATGTATAGGAGAGCTTCCTATTATACTAACAATCAAGATGTGTGATGAGTTAAGGTGGATAATTTGGAAAACCACCTTTTAAGACAAAATAGAGTTTCTCAAAATAATTTTTTAAAAGATACAGATACTTCCAAGCTTTAAAACATTTTATTAAGGTTTTTGAAGCTATGAAAGATTTTTCATAATAAACAAGAATTACTACATAATCATAAACATCAAAAACATTTCTGCAGCATTTTTGAAGGGTAATAGAGTATAGTTGAATTTTCTGTGACAATTTAATTCCATCCTCATCTGATTCTCCCACATCATGCTTTTCTAATTCCAGGGTTTATAATTTTCTCTGCTGGTAAAATCCTATGAAAATCCAACAATGACACAGAACAGACCCTCAGTAGATTAAAATGTTCCCTCTGTCTCATGCCTTGAGTCTTTTGAGAAAGGTTAATGAAGAGTTTCTTTCGTTTTTCTTTCTCCACAATAGTAAAGAAGTTGCGATTACTTATTTTCATTCCTTCAGCATATTTAAATATGAAATAGAAAACTAATTTCTGGATTATTCTTGATTTAGTCACATTCTCAGTGGTATATGACACAGTGTCACTATCACAGACATTAAAAAAAAACCCAAATGTCTCTTGCTTTGTGACTGATTGTGTGGATACAGAGATAATAAATTGAAAAACAGCAAGACAGAATGCACACTGGGCGTGGTGTACGAAGTGGAACCTATAACATTTTCATTCTTTTCTTGTATTCAATTAAACCCTCTGGCAGCTTAGTGAAGAAGAAAAATGTGTTTAACCCAAAGATACATATATTCCAAGAACAAGGACATTGTCCAAGGAAACAATTCATCTCTGTCCAACTGGAGGTTTGTTCAATTTTTCAGTAGAAAGAAATAATGATTTCTTCTAAAGGACAGAGATTGACAACAATTGAACAACAGATTAAGTACTTCCATCTGTAAAAAAAAAAAAAATTATCAAAAAAACAACAAAAAAACTGTTTTTCAGTTTCACTATGGACCATGAAAAAAGTAAAACATAAATATTATTTAAAGGTTTGTAATCTGTTCAATAATTTTGATAATTTAATTCTAAATTCTATGTGTCGGTACATTGTGAAAATAATAACTTTTTCAGCATTTAAAATCATAAATTCATCTTGAGAGTCTTTCCCTAAAAAATGGTTATATAAAGTATACTTCTGTTTTCATATTTTTAATAAACACTACAATTTCTCTCCTTATTGGAACTTGAGTTTGAACTCTTTATTATAAGTGGGAGCATATATCCACTATCCTTGAGGAAGCAGGTTATAAATGACTACCTTATCCTTAAACTATATTAAGGACTTGTTTTCAATAAAACCTTTTAAAAGTCTGATCATCATGACACTTTATTGCTTTGAACTGATCCTTCCTTCCAGATCAGAGAACACCATTGTGTAAATATACTAAATGCATTAGACAACTCATTTCAGGTTTGTTGTTGCTGTTGTTACGGTTGTTTTAGGATTCCACTGGCTTTTAAAGTACTGCTAGTAAAAAAATGAAAGTCTGAGGGTCATGTTTTTAATTTATAGCTGGGGATGTTCTTCACTCAATGGAAAAAATTTGGAGGCCATAACTGCACTCGGTGTAGTGACTACACATAAATAGCGCAGCAAAGCACAGGTTTTGATTGCCTCATGCCCTGAGCAGGGGTCTTTCATTTTATTTTCATGCATCATTTACAAGTTGCTGCAGTGATTCCACAAAGTCAGCATATCTCACCAAGTTAACATAAAGTGAATTCGAAGGGAAGAAATACATTCTGTGATATCTAGGCAAGTTTGTTTCTGTCCATTGAGTGCATTGAAAACACAAGTCAATCAGAAAGAAAGATTAATACTGTGGGTAGGTGTTGGCAAGTGTGCAAATCTGCACAGTGAGGAAATGTTCACTGAGCTTATTTCAAAGGAAGAACATGACAGAATCAAGGTTTCTATTCCCAACTTGGAACATCAAGATGCAGACATTACATTATTTACATAAATATGTGTGAGGAAAAGCATACTCATAAAACAATTATATATTTAATAATAGTAATTTCAGGTTATTTAAATAAAACATACTTTGGATATATAAAAGGAATTGTTAAATCAACTGACTAACTTAACAGATTTCAATGTTTCTAGCTTTAGAGACACGTAATCTATGAATTCAGATTTGTACTGAGCAAATAAAAGGGTGACATTGTCATTCTCTGAGAAAAAGAAGTCAAAGAGAGTGACAGACGCTATTATTTAGATAGAGGTAACCCGAATGAAGGAACATCCAGGGATATTCCTGCAGGACATGAAAAGATCTCAGATTCATGTTTAGCATTTGTCAAGGTATTGGTGGTATCTAAGTTATAGGACTGGATGAAAAGACTATAGATTAAAAAACAAAGAGTTTTAGAGCTTATTTCTGGTGTATTTCATGTGTAGAAGCTGAACAAAAGAGGACATTCATATAATGCGAACTGTGGTAAAATATCTAGTTAAGTAAGAAAGAGTAAAGTGAACGTGGGGCTCCAGAGTCCAAAGGAAGAAATTCTCTTAAGAAACACAGTGATCTGAAATGCTGTTTTTGAGTAGTTAAGGTGAGAACTGAGGATTGGACTTAACAATGAGAAAGTCAATAGACACAAAGAAAATAGCAAAGTCAATGAAGTCGTAGAAGCAATGTCTTAGGGGCACAAGTATAAGAGAAAATAGACAGAGACAGTCAATATAGGTAGGACTTACTGCAAAAGGGAACAGAAATATCAGATTCTAACTTGAGGGAGTTACATGAGTTCAAGGGAGGTTGTGTTAAAAATCCATAATAAGAAGGCAGGTTTAATCTAATAAAAAGAGAAATAATAATAAAATATATATTAAAGAGGACACAAAAAGTCTTTAAAGAGGAAAACAGAAAAAAAAATACAGGAGAAGTAAGGCCCACTCTAAAATGTAAAATACTAACAAATAATATAGAATCAAATAAATAAAAAAAACTTGCCACTGGAAAAATCCAAAGGAAGACACTGAAAAATCTATGGAAAGAAAGCTTAGAAAGAAGCACTAAGGAAACTGTGTAAAAACACAGAAAACTATCAAGTCAGGAAACACTTAAAATCTCTTTTTACCTACAAGAAAAACTGCTGAATAAACCGTACCTCACTATAAGAATAGAAACTATGCTCCAAGCCAAGAAACTGTAATCATCTAACTAAAATCTTAACCACATCTGTATACAGCTGTTTGGCAGGTTCTTAGATTATAAAAATATATAATGCAGAAAATGTCAGATGACATCTGTATTGGTCCATTTGTGTTGTCATAACAGTATCTGGGGTAATTTATAAAGAATAGAAATTTATGTCTCATAGTTCTGGAGGTGGAGATCGATGATGAAGGCACTGTAGTTTCAGTATCTTGGTGAGGGTTGGTCTCAGCTTCCAGGAGGGCTCCTTGTGTGTCCTCTGAAGGGAGGAACACTGTGCCCTCAACATAGTGGAAGGGATAGAAGGGGTTAAAAGAGAGAGAGAGACAGAGTTGAATTCCTTCTGTCAAACCCTTCTATAAAGACACCTAATCTCATTCACCTCCTAATTACTTCCTATAGGCCACACCTTTTAATACTGTTGCATTGAGGATTAAGTTTCAACATGAATTTCAGAGGGGACAAAAACATTCAAACCATAGGAACATCTAAAGAAATACACATACTCAGACCACAGCAGATATAAATTCTCTGAAATTTACCTATGAATTCAACTCCACATTAATAAAAAATGCAGCAGTTTTTAGAAAATCTACAAGCTGGAAAATATCTATTTCTTTGTAAGTGCTCTTCAGCACTCTTTTTCCTATAATTTATCCATTTCATGAATGTTATCTATTTTTTTGGCATAAAGGTATTCCTTCTATTTCCAGCCATTGATTTTTCCCCATCATTTTACTGTTTTTGATTTTATTGATTTCTACTATTTATCATTTACTTCCTTCTGATTACTTGACTATTTTACCAGAGATATTAGTCAGTGTATTCAGGCAAGAAAAAGAAGCACTTACAACTGGAAGAAAACATATAAAGCTATCGTTCATTGTAGAAGAGGATTGTCTATATCAAAATTATAAAGATTCCATTAAAAATTTATTAGAAAAATATAAGTGATGGGACGCCCAGGTGGGAGGATCACTGGAGCCCAGGAGTTTGAGAGCAGATAGCAAGACCCAGTATGGGAAGGGAAAGGAAGGGAAGGAGAAGGGAGGGGAGGGGAGGAGAGGGGAGGGGAGGGAAGGGAAGGGGAGGGAAAGGGAGGGGAGGGGAGGGGAGGGGAGGGGAGGGGAGGGGAAAGGAGGATAGGTGAATATAGTAAGACCACATGATATAAGTTTAATATTCAAATTTAACTTTATTTCTATATATTATCAATAAGTGGAATTTAATGTATCAAAAGTGCTATTTACAATGGAATGAAACCCATGACTTATGAGTATATCTAACAAAATATATGCAACATGTTTATCCTGAAAATAACAAATTTAATGATGAGAGAAAAATAAAGACAATAAAATTGAGAAATATACCACACAAAGTAATTGGAAACTCAATATTGTTAAGATATTGTCTTTGTCTGGTTTTGCTACTATAATCAAAGGCCTTGGACTGGCTAAATTATGAAGAGCAGAAATTTATTTCACAGCCCTGCAGCCTGGGAAGTGCAAGATCAAGGCATAGGCAGGCCTGGTGTCTGGTGCAGGACTTGTTTCTCATAGATCACACCTTCTAGGAGTCCTCACACCGCCGAAGAGTGGAGGAGCGAAGAGGGCCTAAACTAGTCCCTCTAGCCTTTTTATGCTGCACTAATCAGTTTCTGAGGGGGGCGCCCTCAACATTTAATCACTTCCCAAAAGGCCCTACCTCTTAATACAAGTACAGTAGGGATTAAGTTTCAGCATGAATTTTGAAGGGGATGCATATTCAGACCAGAGCAGATATAAATTCTCCCAAATGCACCTGTGGATTCAACCCCGCATTAATCAAAAATGAAGGAGTGGTTTTTAGAAAATCTACAAATTAATTATAAATCAGTGGCTCTAGACTATCTAAAACAGTTTTGTAAAAGAGAAATAAAGTTGGAAATTTCACACAATTTATTTCAAATCTTATCTACTCTGCTATAATCAAGACAGTCTGGTGTTGGTTTTAAAAAAAAGAGACATAAGTATTAATGCAACAAAATACATAGCTTAGAAGTA